>NC_000014.9:73854137-74005652 GCF_000001405.40 Homo sapiens
TGTCCCCCAGGCTTGAGTGCAATGGATCAGTTTCGGCTCACTGCAACCTCCGCTTCCCAGGTTCAAGTGATTCTCCTGCCTCAGCCTCCGGAGTAGCTGGGATTACAGGCACCCGCCACCACGCCTGGTTAATTTTTGTATTTTTAGTAGGGCAGAGTTTCACCATGTTGGCCAGGCTGGTCTCAAACTCCTGACCTCAAGTGATCCACCTGCCTCAGCCTCCCAAAGTGCTAGGATTACAGGTGTGAGCCACCGTGCCCAGCCAAGTTATCTATATTTGAAATGTGTGTTTTTTTGGTACTATTGAGGGATATCACACAATTATCCTATATTAATTGTAGTATTTGACACTTGAAAAGTTTCTAATTTAATGCAGAGTGAGAGAACTTTAATAGTATATTTTTCATGCTGATAAGCAGTGTTTGGACAAATCTATAATATACATATTAATATGTTAAACAAATAAAGCATACCATTGACAGTAATTAGAGGGCAAATATGATATTTCATTTGGAAAGACTGCTTTGAAAATTTAGCCATTATGGTTCTATTACTACTTAAGGACTTTTAGACCCACTTAATTTGGAAAACTTTGGCTTTTTAATCCTTATATAATTGACACATATGGTGATTCTGTAGAAAGTTTCCTTTTTAAAACATATGTAGCCCTACATGACATTATGGACCTCTTGGTGTGATGAATGGATGTGGCACCACCCTTAAAGATTCTTGCCTGAAAAATTGAACCTGAAGTAATCAAGCCTCTAGATGTAACTAGCAGTCATGGATAAGGGGAGGAGATAGAAGAAACATTTCCTTCTTTCTTTAAAAGCTAGTCATTTACCTTGTGATGGTAAATGACACCATGAGGAAGCAATCAAAGAACATTCTACAAGCAAAGTAATGAAGAAACAAATCAAGGGCATGAAATAAATGGAAGGGAGACTCAAACTGTAGTATGTGGACCTTGAATCCTGATTTTAATGAACCAACTGTAAAAAGACATCTTTGAAACATTTTTGAAACCAACTGTAAAAAGATATCTTTGAACATCCTGAAACGTCAGGAAATTTGAATATGCACTAGGTATTAGATGATGATAAGGAATTGCCAGTACTACTATTAGGTGTAATAATGGCATAGTGTTTATGTTTAAATCTGTGATGGCTGGGTTATAGTCATTTGCCATATAATGACGGTTCAGACAATGACAGACGATGAGCCTCCCATAACATTATAATGGAATTGAAAAATTCCTCTTGCCTGGTGATGTCATAGTCATCAGAACGTTATAGTGCAATTACTTTATTTTTATTATTTATTTATTGAGACAGGGTCTCACTCTGTCACCCAGACTGGAGTACAGTGGCGTGATCTCGGCTCACCGCAACCTCCACCTCTTGAGTTCAAGCAATTCTCCTGCCTCAGTCTCTGAGTAGCTGGGATTACAGGCGTGCACCACCATGCCTGGCTGATTTTTGTATGTTTAGTAGAGACAGGGTTTCACCATGTTGGTCAGGCTGGTTGTGAACTCCTGACCTTAAATGATGCACCTGCCTCAGCCTCCCAAAGTGCTGGGATTACAGGCATGAGCCACCACGCCCGGAGTATTACTTTATTTTTTAAGAAATTTAGTGGGGCCGGGCGCGGTGGCTCATGCCTGTAATCCCAGCACTTTGGGAGGCCGAGGCGGGTGGATCATGAGGTCAGGAGTTTGAGAACAGCCTGACCAACATGGTGAAACCCCGTCTCTACTAAAAATACAAAAATTAGCCGGGCATGGTGGCACGCACCTGTAATCCCAGCTACTTGGGAGGCTGAGGCAGGAGAATCGCTTGAATCTGGAAGGCAGAGGTTGCAGTGAGCTGAGATTGCGCCACTGCACTCCAGCCTGGGCGACAGAGCAAGACTCTGTTTCAAAAAAAAAAGAAAGAAATTTAGTGTAGTCTAAGTGCATAGTGTTAATAAAGTCTAAGTAGCCTACAGTAATGTCCTAGGCTTTCACATTCCCTCACCACTCACTCCCTGACTCATCCAGAGCAACTTCTAATCTGGTAGGCTCCATTCATGGTAAGTTACCCTATATAGGTATACCATTTTAAAATCTTTTTTGTTGTTGTTTTTTTTGAGGCGGAGTTTCACTCGTCACCCAGACTGGAGTGCAGTGGCGCAATCTTGGCTCACTGCAATCTCCACCTCCAGGGTTCAAGCGATTCTCCTGCCTCAGCCTCCCAAGTAGCTGGGACTACAGGCATGGGCCACCTGCCCACCGGCTATTTTTTTTTGTATTTTTAGTAGAGACAGGATTTCATCATGTTAGCCAGGCTGGTCTCGAACTCCTGACCTCAGGTGATCTGCCCGCCTTGGCCTCCCAAAGTGCTGGGATTACAAGGGTGAGCCACCGCTCCCAGCCCATTTTTAAATCTTTTACCCCATATTTTTACTGTACTTTTTCTATGTTTAGATACACAAATACTTACCATCGTGTTCCAGTTGTCTGCAGCATTCAGTACAGCAACATGCCATATAGGTTTGTACCGTAGAAGTTATAAGCTAAACCATATCACCTAGGTGTCTAGTAATCTGTACCATGTAGGTTTGTGTAAGTATACTCTGATGTTCACACAATGATTAAATCACCTAATGTCACATTTCTCAGCATGTATCCCAGTAGTCAAGCTGTACAAAGCACTCACAAGAGTGCTTGGCACATAGTAACACTAAGGGCTTGATTTTCTAATTTTCACTGGTGGATAAAGTAAGCAAAGTGATTTTCAGCAAGTCAGATAGTGCTAGTACTGGAAGTTCTTTTGCTTTCTTCATTAGCTCAAATTCTAAATCCAGAATAAACTGGCCAGATGTAGTGGCTCACGCCTGTAATCCCAGCACTTTGGGAGGTCGAGATGGGAGGATCACTTGAGCCCAGGAATTCGAGACCAGCCTGAGCAACATAGCGAGACCTCATCTCAAAAAACAAAACAGAATAAACTGATCCTTTACTTATTGGCCATATTGTGATATGGAATTTCCTATAAGGTAAGGATTTTTAAATTCCTTGATATATTACTTTTATTGTCAGCTAAACTATAAAGGAATTTCCGTTTTTTTTTTTTTTAATTCACCACTGATAAGAAGGCAAAGGAATTTCCATTTTGATGAACGAATAGAAGAGCCTTTGAAAATTTGGTTACGTGGCTGGGCTTGGTGGCTCATGCCTGTAATCCCAGCACTTTGTGAGGCCAAGGTGGGCAGATCACTTGAGGTCAGGAGTTCAAGACCCGCCTGGCCAACATGGTGAAACCCTGTCTCTACTAAAAATACAAAAAATTAGCAGGGCACCGTGGTGCACGCCTGTAATCCCAGCTACTTGGGAAGCTGAGGCAGGAGAATTGTTTGAACCCAGGAAGCAGAGGTTGCGGTGAGCTGAGATCGCGCCACTGCACTCCAGCTTGGGTGACAGAGTAAGATTCTGTCCCCCACTCCAAAAAAAAAATTTTTTTGATTACATGTCAATTAAGCAGTTAGTGTTTTTTTTTTTTTTTTTTTTTTGAGACAGAATCTCGCTCTGTTGCCCAGGCTGGAGTGCAGTGGTGCGATCTCGGCTCACTGCAAGCTCCGCCTCCCGGGTCCACGCCATTCTCCTGCGTCAGCCTCCGGAGTAGCTGGGACTACAGGCTCCCGCTACCACGCCTGGCTTATTTTTTTGTATTTTTAGTAGAGACGGGGTTTCACCATGTTAGGCAGGATGGTCTTGAACTCTTGACCTTGTGATCCACCCGCCTCGGCCTCCCAAAGTGTTGGGATTACAGGCGTGAGCCACCGCGCCCAGCTGCAGTTAGCGTTTTTATTTTGCCACTAGATTAACTGCTAGCTCTGGAGGAATATATCATGTTGTTTGTTTTATGTTTTTTTCTTGTCTTTATTTAAAAACAAGTGCAGTATTGAGAAGGGAAAAGAGTAGAACAAGGGGTTTGGCCTGTAACTGACTGAACAATCAGGTGATATAACTCACTACCTTTGGACCAGCCTTGTGTTGTTTTCTTTTAATCGAGCCATAGGAGGCTTAATCATGATGGTGTGCTTGAAGATGAATGAGCTTGAATTATCTGAGACCAAAAACATCTTGCCCCACTAGGGCCGGGTGTGGTGGCTCATGCCTGTAATCCCAACACTGGGAAGCTGAGGCGGGCAGATCACGAGGTCAGGAGATTGAGACCATCCTGGCTAACACAGTGAAACCCCGTCTCTACTAAAAATACAAAAAAATTAGCTGGGCATGGTGGCAGGCGCCTGTCGTCCCATCTACTCGGGAGGCTGAGGCAGGAGAATGGCGTGAACCCAGGAGGCAGAGCTTGCAGTCAGCAGAGATCACACCACTGCACTCCAGACTGGGCAACAGAGCGAGACTCCGTCTTTAAAATAAATAAATAAATAAACAAACATTTTGCCCCACTTAATCTTCAATGAACTTGTTCCTATTAGTTAAAAATTCTAACTAGATTTAGTCTTTCTTCATATATTTGCTTTAGGAGGCAAACTCTGACAGGCGAGTTTATCTTTTTGGATCCTAAATGTGATTTTTCTCCCTCTTCATTGGGAAACACAAATGGACTTCTTTTTTATTTTTAAATTGTTGAATACTTCAAATCTTGTGATTTAAAAATTTTTTTATTTATAGGAGTATTTTATACAGAAATCTTGTGAAACCACTGCCCAACCAGAGCAATGATTGTTCAAAGAGTGGTATTGAATTCTCGACCTGGTATGTATTTGCGATGAATGAACAACTCTGATCTTTGATAAGTATTAATGCAAATGGAGGAATAAAAACTAATGTGATGTTCATGTGGTAAATTAAGGTAGTAAGATATTGACACTAGTAAAGATATTAGAAGAAACTCTTTAAACGATGTAATAATTTTCAAGTGTTAGCTTATCAAGACCATTTTTAAACAGTGTGCTAGTTTTTCAAGTGATAACTTATCCAGGCATTTGTTGATGAAATAAGGTATTTTGGAATCATAATGTCTGAAAGGTTACATTACAAATATATGTGGCTTTTGTTTCTTTAGAGTATGTTATTATTGGTCCTTAAAATTTGCTTTTCTTTTTTATGTGAAATGTACTAACATATCAGTGCTGACATGTAAACTGCATCATAAAAACAGATATGGAAAGAACCTGAGAGATTTGGGTCACTGCTGCCCACTTGAGGAAGTCACTTAACTTTTCTGAACTCAATTTTAGTAAAATGAGCAGTTAGATTAAGATCTTTATGTACTATTCCCACCTTATAAATTTAACAATTCTATGAAGAGTAAATTTGCATTAAACATATCTGAATATGAGTACCTTCTAGTGGTAACCTTTCCTTCTTACAAATTTTTCTCATACCTCAAATTTTTCTAATTTCCTACTTCCTATTTTTTCAGACTTCATTATTATTACTTTTATATTCGTTTAAGTTTCTATAATGATGACCTTTCCTTACAAATTTTTCTCATGCCTCAAATTTTTTAATTTTCCACTTTTTCAGACTTTATTATTATTACTTTTATATTCATTTAAGTTTCTATTTGCTTCTTAAAATAAGGAAGGAAAGTTTAGCCGCGCTCCATCCTGGGTGACAGAGTAAGACCTTGTCTCTAAAAAAAAAAAAGAAATACATACTGAGTCATTTCTATAGTTACAGAAGAATTACAAAACAATATAGATTTACTTGTGCCTGTTTTTTTTTTTTTGACACGGAGTCTCGCTCTGTCATGCAGTGGCACAATCTCGGCTCAGTGCAACTTCCACCTCCCGGGTTCAAGCGATTCTTCTGCCTCAGCCTCCCGAGTAGCTGGGACTACAGGCGTGCGCCACCACGCCTGGCTAGTTTTTGTATTTTTGGTAGAATCAAGGTTTCACCATGTTGGCCAGGCTGGTCTGAAACTCCTGACCTCGTGATCCACCTGTTTCAGCCTCCCAAAGTCCTGGGGTTACAGGCATGAGCCACCACGCCTGGCCCCTTGTGCCTGTTTTAAAAGGAACTGTTCTGAATCCTAGAGTGACCCTTTAAAGAATAATAAGTATATCCCACCACTATGGGAGGCCAAGGTGGGCAGATCGTGAGGTCAGGAATTTGAGACCAGCCTGGCCAGCATGGTAAAACCCCATCTCTACTAAAAATATTAAAAAGTAGCCGGGCATGGTGGTGCATGCCTGTAATCCCAGCTACTCGGGAGGCTGAGTCAGGAGAATCACTTGAACCCAGGAGGCAGAGGTTGCAGTAAGCCGAGATCGCGCCACTGCATTCCAGCCTGGGTGATAGAGCAAGACTCTGTCTCAAATAATAATAATAATAATAGTATATAGCAAAGTGGCTTTTTTTAACTTTATATTTTTGCATAATATTTTAGGAAAAAATGGTAATCCAGTGGCAGAGAATTTCCGAATGGAAGAAGTCTATTTACCAGATAATATTAATGAAGGACAAGTACAAGTTAGAACTCTTTATCTTTCTGTGGATCCTTACATGGTAAGAATCAGGATGTTGTAACTTGGTGAAAAATAACTTTATTTTATTATTTTTCATGTTGTATCTGAATCTTATTGTGCAGTCCCTTATAGATTGGTAAATATTTGAGCAGTTATATATTGATACCTTTTAATTATAGATTGCCTTTGTTTTTATTCACTAGTGTAATTAAGGAATGTTGTAGAGGGAACAGATAATAGTAGTACATGTATGTGATTCAGGTGCTTTCAAATGTTCAGATTACTTCCCAGTAGTAAATAAAGCTTGAAGATAGTAAAACAGGATTGCAAATTCAGTAAATAAAGCTTTAAGATAGTAAAATAAGATTGCAAATTCTTTCAGATCCACTTTATAAGAGAGGCTATGTATGAGATCTTTATTTATTTCTAGTTGACCTCCTTTTCTTTTCTTTTTCTTTTTTTTAAGCGATGAGGTCTCGCTGTGTTGCCCAGGCTGGTCTCAATTTTGCTGGGCTCAGGCAATCCTCTGACTTTGGCCTCCTTGAAGTGCTGGCATTACAGGCATGAGCCACTGTGCTTAGCCCTGTAGTTGATCTCTTTTTGAAAGGAACAGACTCACTTATGCTACTTCTAGATAAATAAGATTTAGTGAAAACGTATACATTGCTGAAGACTGCAGATAAGAAGCCATTAGGCACAGGGACTTTGGCTCTACGAGCTGGCGTCTTGCTTTACTTCTCCCAGAGGTCATACAGTCTTTTCTTTACTTCTAACTTTTTCCTATGGCCATGACAAGCATAACTCTTTATGTCAATTTACCCCCTGCTATTAAGAGGCTCAGCTGGGCATGGTGGCTCTTGCCTGTAATCCTAGCATTTTTGGAGGCCAAGGCAGGATTGCTTGAGCCCAGGAGTTCAAGACCAGCCTGGACAAGAGAGTGAGACCCAGTCTCAACAAAAAATTAAAAATTTAGACAGGTGTGGTGGTGTGTGCCTGTAGTCCTAGCTACTCGAGAGGCTGATGTGGGCAGATCGTTTGAGCCTGGGAGGTTGAGGCTGCATTGAGCCATGATTGCGCCACTGCACTTCCGTTCGGGTGATGGAGTGAGACCCTGTTGCAAAAAAAAAAGTCTCAGTGCTTGGAATCAGATTGGTGCAGTAGGGAAATTGGCCCCATGTGTCTGTTTTGTTAACTGTTTCATAGGTTGCTGAACGACTGTATGAGTTTCCTGTTGCTGTTTTGACATAGTACTGTAAACTTAGTGGCTTTTTTTTTTTTGGGACGGAGTCTCACTCTGTTGCCTAGGCTGGAGTGCAGTGGCACTATCTTGGCTCACTGCAACCTCTGCCTCCTGGGTTCAAGTGATTCTCCTGGCTCAGCTTCCCGAGTAGCTGGGATTGCAGTCGTACACCACCACACCCAGCTAATTTTTTGTATTTTTAGTAGAGATGGGGTCCCACCAGACTGGCCAGCCTGGTGTCAAACTGTTCTTTTTTTTTTGTTATGTAGAGGCTGATTATCTTTTTCATTATTGAAGACATTTTTAAAAAATGAGCAACTTTATTATTTTTATTAACTTTTGTTGTTGTTGTTTGTTTGTTTGTTTTTGAGACAGAGTCTTGCTCTGTCGCCCAGGCTGGAGTGCAGTGGCGCGATCTCGGCTCACTGCAAGCTCCGCCTCCCGGGTTCACGCCATTCTCCTGCCTCAGCCACCCGAGCAGCCAGGACTACAGGCAACCGCCACCACGCCCGGCTAATTTTTTGTATTTTTAGTAGAGATGGGGTTTCACTGTGTTAGCCAGGATGGTCTTGATCTCCTGACCTCGTGATCCACCCGCCTCGGCCTCCCAAAGTGCTGGGATTACAGGCGTGAGCCACTGCGCCTGGCCTATTTTTATCAACATTCTAAATAGTTGAAACAGAAGTATATAAAGTAGGAAGTGAAAGAGTGCCCGTACAAAGGATCGCTTATTGATCTGCTGTCTAGGTAACAGCAATGTACCAATGTTAATGTCCTGCTTTTGATATTATATTGCAGCTATTAAAGACGTCACTACTGCGGCAAGCTGAGTGAAGGACTGTGGACTTCATTTTATTAATTTTTAACTTTTTTGAAATGAGATCTCTATTGCTGAGGCTGAGTGCAGTGGTGTGAATACAGCTCACTGCAGCCTCGACCTCCTGGGCTCAAGCAGTCCTCCCATCTCAGCTTCCCAACTAGCAGGGACCACAGGTATGCACCACCACACCCGGCTAATTTTTTTGTTTTTTGTAGAGATGGGGTCTTGCCATGTTGCCCAGGTTGGTCTTGAACTCCTGGACTCAAGCAATACTCTTATCTTGGCCTCCAAAGTGCTGAGATTTCAGGTGTGAGCCACTACATCTGTCTCCATATACTTAAAAAATTTAACAGTTTTATTATATTCACACACTATACAATTTACTCACTTAAAGAGTACAACTAAATTATTTTTAGTATATTCACGGAATTCTGCAACTGTCATTACAATCAGTTTTACAACATTTTCATCCCCAGAAGAAACCCTGAACCTATGGTATAATTAGCAATCATTCCCCATTTCCCCTCCTCACCCCACCCTCTGCTGTATACAACCAGTAATCTACTTTTTGTTCCTATAGATTTGCCTATTCTGGCCATTTCATATAAATAAAAACATACAATATGTTATTCTTTTTTGTTGTTTTTAAGAGACAGAGTCTTGCACTGTTGCCCAGGCTGGAATGCAGTGGGGCAATCATAGCTCACGGCTGCCTTGACCTTCTGGGCTCAAGCAATCCTCTCACCTCAGCTGAGAGCTCTTGAGTAGCTGAGACCATAGGTGTGTGCCACCATGCCCGGCTAATTAAAATTTTTTAAAAAAACATTTTAAAATTGTTTATTTATGAATCATTGCAAAGAATAAACTGTTATTTATTTATTTATTTAGAGATGAGTTCTGTTTTATCTTTTGTCATTTATACTCTCATACTTTCAGGCTCTCTTTTTTTTTTTTTGGCAGACAGTTTCACTCTATCCCCCAGGCTGGAGTGCAGGGGCTCAATCTCAGCTCATTGCAACCTCCACCTCCTGGATTCAAGAGATTCTCATGCCTCAACCTCCCGAGTAGCTGGGATTAACAGGCGTGCACCACCACACCCAGCTAATTTTTGTATTTTTAGTAGAGATGGGGTTTCACCATGTTGGCCAGGCTGGTCTCAAGCTCCTGACCTCAGGTGATCCACCCGCATCAGCCTCTCAAAGTGCTAGGATTACAGGTGTGAGCCATCACACCTGGCCGACTCATATCTAAGAAGGCTTTTCCCCACCCAAGGTCACCTCTTGCTATGAGACAGCCCAAGCTGGTCTTGAATTCCAGGGATCCTCCTGCCTCAGCCTCCTGAGTAGCTGGGGTTGTAGGTGGGAGCTACTGTGCCTGGCATAATATATGACCTTTTGTGTCTGGCTTCTTTCATTTAGTATGTGTTTACAAGGCTCATCATGTTGTAGTTTATACTTCTTTTTATTGCTGAATAATGTTACATTGTATGGATACAGTATCTTATCTGTTCATCAGATGATGGACATGTGGGTTGTTTACACAACTTGGCTATTAGCAATACTTCTGCTATGAACATTTGTGTATATGTTTTTGTGTGGACTGTGTTTTTGTTTCTCTTGGGTATATACATAAGAGTAAAATTACTAGGTCATACAGTAAGTATATGTTTAACCTTTTGAGGAACTACCGAACTATTTTCCAAAGTGGCTTTACCATTTTCCAATCCCACCATCAGTGTGTGAAGGTTCCAGTTTTCCACATCCTCACTAACACTTGTTATTATCTGTCTTTTTGGTTATAGCCATTCTAGTTGGTGTAAAGTGATATCTCCTTGTGGTTTTCTTTTGTATTTCCTTATGGCTAATAATGTTGAGCATGTTTTTAATGTGCTTATTGGTCATTTGCATGTCTTTTTTGGAGACATGTCTATTCAGATTTCTTGTGCATTTTAAAAGTTGGATTATCTGTGTTTTTATTACTGAGTTGTAAGAGTTGTTTATATATTCTTGATATAAGCTTCTTGCTGGATGTATGATCTATAAATATTTTCTTCTATGCTGTAGGTTGTCTTTTTATTCTCTTGATAGTATCCATTGAAGCACAAAAGTTTTTAATTTTGATAAAGTCCGATTTATCTCTTTTTTTGTTTGTCACGTATACTTTCAATACTTTCAGACTCATATCTAAGAAGGCTTTGCCTCACTTAAGGTCATGAAGATTTAGTCGTATATTTTCTGCTAAGAGTTTTATAGTTTTGCTCTAACATTTAAGTCAGTAACACATTTTGGGTTAAACTCTATGTATGCGTATGAGGAAGGGGTCTGTATTAATCAAGATTCTTTAGAGAGACAGAAACACAAACACACACATAGGCATGCACCCACAGACATGCACACACATATATATGAGAGGGGACTTATAAGAGGAATTGGCTCACAAGATTATGGAAGCTGAGAGTTCCCATGATAGGCTGTCTACAAACTGGAGAACCAGAGAAGCTGGTAGCATGGCTCAATCCAAGCTGGAAGGCCCGACAACCAAGGAAGCCATTGGTATACTTGTCAGTCCCAAGGCCTGAGAGCCCAGGAAGCCATGGGTGCAGTCTCAGAGTACAAAGGCTGAAGAACCTGGAGTTCTTATGTCAGAGGGCAGGAGAAGAAGGGTGTCCTGCTTTGCAGGAGAGAGAGAGAATTTGTCCTTCACCTGCTTTTTTGTTCCATCTGGGCTCCTTGTTGAATGGATGGTGCCCACCCACATTGAGGGCAGATCTTCACCACATAGTCCACAGACTCACCTGCTAGTTACCTCTGAAAACACCCTCAAGGACATATCCAGAAACAATGCTTCACAAGCCATCTAGGCATTCCTCTATCCAGTCAAGTTGACGCCTAAAATTATCCATCACAGGGCCCAACTCATTCTTTTTTACAATCTCAAACTCCCTGGGCTCAAGTGATTCTCCTGTCTCAGACTCCCAAGTAACTGGGACGATAGGTGCAAGCCACCACACCTGACCTAACTTCACTCTTTTGCAAGTGAATATACAGTCGTGTCAGCACTTTTTTTTTTTTTAAGAGAGACCAGAAATATTTGACCACGAAGGGACATGAACCAGCACTGTTTGTTGAAAAGATAATTCTTTCCTCATTGGTTTGTCTTAGTACTCTTGTTGAAAACCAACTGACCATAAATATGAGGGTTTATTTCTGGACTTTCAACTCTATTCTAGCAATCTGTATATCTGTCATGCTAGTACCTCGCTCTCTTAATTACTGTAGCTTTGTAATAAGTTTTGAAATGAGCAAGTGTGAGTCTTCCAATCTGTTTTTCTTTTTTTTTTTTTGAGATGGAGTCTTGCTCTGTCGCCAGTCTGGAGTGCAGTGGCGCTATCTTGGCTCACTGCAACCTCCACTTCCCGGGTTCAAGTGGTTCCCCTGCCTCAGCCTCCTGAGTAGCTGGGACTACAGGCACCCACCACCACACCTGGCTAATATTTTGTATTTTTAGCAGAGACGGGGTTTCACCATATTGGCCAGGTGGGTCTTGAACTCCTGACCTTCAGGTGATCCACCCACCTCGGCCTCCGAAAGTGCTGGGATTACAGGCATGAGCTACTATGCCTGAACAATTTTTTGTATTTTAGTAGAGACAGGGTTTCACCATGTTGGCCAGGATGGTCTTGATCTCCTAACCTTGTGATCCTCCCGCCTCAGCCTCCCAAAGTGCTGGGATTACAGGTGTGAGCCACCCCACCTGGCCTGTTTTTCTTTTTTAAGATTGTTTTGGCTCTTCTGGGTCCCATGAATTTTCATATGAACTTTAGAACCAGCTTGTCAGTTTCTGCACAGAAGATTTTGATAGGGATTTTGATAGGGATTGCTTTGAGTCTGTAGATCAATTTGGGGAGTATTGTCTTCTGTGATGGTTCATTTTATGTGTCCACTTAACTAGGCCATGGGATGTCTAAATAGCTGGTTGAACGTTATTTCTGGGTGTGTCTGCAAGGGTGTTTCTAGAAGAGATTAGCTTTTGGATTGGTGGACTGAAAAAAGCAGATGTCCTTCTCTAATGTGGGTGGGCATCATCCAGTCCATTGAGGGCCTAAGGAGAACAAAATGTAGAAGAAGGTTGCTGGGTGCGGTGTCTCACACCTGTAATCCCAGCACTTTGGGAGGCTGAGGCGGGCAGATCACCTGAGGTCAGACGTTCAGGACCAGCCTGGCCAACGTGGTGAAACCCCGTCTCTACTAAGAATACAAAAATTAGCCGGGTGTGGTGGCAGGCACCTGTAATCCCAGCTACTCAGGAAGCTGAGGCAAGAGAATTGTTTGAACCCGGGAGGCGGAGATTGCAGTAAGCCAAGATCGCGGCATTGCACTCCAGCCTGTGTGACAGAGCAAGACTCTGTCTCAAAAAAAAAAAAAAAAAAAACAAAAAAACAAAAAAAAGAAGAAGAAGAAGGTTGAACTAACTCTGACTGCTTAAGCTGGAGCATCATTCTTCTCCTGTCCTCAGAGTTCCTGGTTCTCAGGCCTTCAGATCTGGACTAGAATCTCTACTGTCAGCTTACCTGCTCTCATTCACTGGAACCACACTGCTGGCTTTTCTGAGTCTTCAGCTTGCAGATGGCAGATAATGGGACTTCTTAGCCTCTCTAACTGCATGAGCCAATACCTTATAATAAATCTCTTCATAGATATGTATGTATCCTGTTGGTTCTGTTTCTCTGGAGAATTCTGATGAAAACAATATCCTAATACACTGATCCATGAATGCATGATGTCTTTCTACTTATTTGGGTGTTCATTAATTTCTTTCTGTCTTTAAAAAAAAAAGATTTTAGGGGAGGAAAAATGATGGAACAACTAGGATTATAATATAAATTGAATTAATGATCTTCACTTCGAACACTCCCAACTTCAAAGCAAAAACAAAAACCAAAAAACCTCTTTTTCCTCCAGGGAAGTAAATATTTTGTCTACTTACTCATTTCATGCTAGAAAGCACAGTCTTGAGAATTTTGCCTCTACCAGGTCCTGTGGATCCCACCTCCTAAATACCTCTCAATTCAGTCCATGTCTTAGTAATTCCAGGGAAGTCTACCTAGTCTGAATCACCGTTGTTTCTTTCCTAATGGGGTAGGTACCCTTGCATACACACTTTGCCCCTTTAAGCCATTTTTCACACTGCAGCCAGAATGCCAGAGTGATTCTTCTTATAACAGCAACTAATTGTGTCACCTTGCTTAAAGTGGTTTAATGGCTTCCCATTAGTTTTGGAATTGAGACCAATCAGCCTTGACATGGTCTAAGAAGCTACATAACCTGGGCTAGGCACGGTGGCTCACGCTTGTAATCCTAGCACTTTGGGAGGCCGAGGTGGGTGGATAACCTGAGGTCAGGAGTTTGACACCAGCCTGGCCAACATAGTGAAACCCCGTCTCTACTAAAAATACAAAAAAATTAGCCAGGCGTGGTGGCACATGCCTGTAGTCCCAGCTACTTGGGAGGCTGAGGCAGGAAAATCACTTGAGCCCGGGAGGCCGAGGTTGCAGTGAGCCGAGATCACGCCACTGCACTCCAGCCTGGGCAACAGAGCAAGACTCTGTCTCAAAAAAAAAAAGAAGCTACATAACCTGACTCCTTTACCTGTCCAGGCTCAGAGAAGCCTGCCAATTACCCTCACACTGTTGCCTCAGTGGATGTCTGTCTTTTGTAACACATCAGTGCCCCCTTCTGCTTAATCTTTGTATGAATCATGTTTTTAATTTAGTGTATTTTAGGATGTTTTGACATCTTAGGGGGCTTGTGAATCCTAGAGTAACTGTCCCTGGCAGGATTTGCTTATTTTTAGAGATAACAACTTGCATTTGAGTCTTGCCATTCATATACAAACCAACCAATCCAAAGCCCATATCCCTAAACTCCTCCTCTATCTAACTCACACTCCCCTGCCTTAAATCACCTCAGGGCCAGATGCTGCACAACTTAAGAACCACCCCTGTATATCAGAGCCCTCTGACATTATTAAAGCTGTCATGTAATATACTCAAGGTTACCTACCCTGCCTTGCCCGTTCTTTCCTGTGGAAACCAAAGATACTTCTTCCTTAAAAAAAAAAAAGAAGACTCTGGGCCATGCTCTTCCTTGCTCCTTTGCCCTCTTGACCAACTCTTGTGCTTCCCCATGCGACCCTTCTTGGCATATTGTGCCCTCCCCTCTCGGCAACTGTAAGAAATTCTTCTTTCAAGGCAGTTGTCTTCGTATCTATCATTTTACCATACCTGGTTAAAACAGAGTCCCAGGTACATATTAAAGCAAGCCTTCATACATGTTGGCCCTCTATCTAAAAGCCTCTTCCCACTCCTTTCCCTTTACCTGGTAATCCCTGTTATTCCCTAGATGCCTGCTTTAAAGAGATTTCCTTTGGTAAATCACCCTGAACCCTCAGACTAGTCCAGACCTCTCTTTGATATTTTCCTCTTGACATTCAGCATTTATCCCAATTGAAAGTAATAATTACATTTGTGTAGTTATTAGATTATCTGTCTTCCTTAGTAAAAAGTAAGCTTATGGGCTGGGTGCCATGGCTCATACTTATAATCCCAGCACACTGGGAGGCTGAGGCAGGAGGATCACTTGACCCCAGGAGTTTGAAACCATCCTGGGCAACACAGAAAGATGCCATCAATACCAAAAAAAGGAAATTAGGTGAGTGTTAAGGTGCACCAGCCACTCTGGAGGCTGAGGCGGGAGGATCACTTGAGCCCGGGAGGTGGGAGGATCACTTGAGCCCGGGAAGTGGGAGGATCACTTGAGCCCAGGAGGTCGAAGCTGTAGTGAGCTGTGATCATGCCACTGCACTCCAGCCTGGGCAACAGAGTGAGACCGTGCCTCAAAAAAAAAAAAAAAAGTTTATGAAAACAAAGTTCGTATTTATCACTGTATCTCCAGTGACTAGCATAATGTTTATTAAATGTTAATTGCATAAAGGAAGGAAGAAAAATCACTTTGGGATACTTTCACTAGACATTCTCTATGCCTCATTCCTTTAAAAAAAATAATCAGGCTGGGCGAGGTGGCTCATGCTGGTAATCCCAGCATTTTGGGAGGCTGAGGCGGGCGGATCACTTGAGGTCAGGAGTTTGAGACCAGCCTGGCCAACATGGTGAAACACCGTCTCTACGAAAACTACAAAAATTAGCCAGGCGTGGTGGCATGTGCCTGTTATCTCAGCTACTCAGGACGCTGAGGCAGGAGAATCGCTTGAGCCGGGGAGGCGGAGGTTGCATTGAGCTGAGATTGTGCCATTCCACTGCACTCCAGCTTGAGTGACAGAGACTCCGTCTCAGAGAGAAAAAAAAAAAAGAATCAGCTGGGCATGGTGGCTTGGGCCTGTAATTCCAGCTACTTGGGAGACTTGAGGTGGGAGGATGGCTTGAAGCCATGAGTTCAAGTCCAGCTTGGGCAGCAACGCAAGACCCCAACTCTAAAAAATAGAAAAATCTTAAGCAACCTTTTTTTTTTTTTTTTTTGAGATAGAGTCTTGCTCTGTGCAGTGGCACAATCTTGGCTTACTGCCACCTCTGCCTCCCGGGTTCAAGTGATTCTCCTGCCTCAGCCTTCTGAATAGCTGGGATTACAGATGCCTGCCACCACGCCCAGCTAATTTTTGTATTTTTTAGTAGAGATGGGGTTTCGCCATGTTGGCCAGGCTGGTCTCAAACTCCTGACCTCAGGTGATCTGCCCGCCTTGGCCTCCCAGAGTGCTGGGATTACAGACATGAGCCACCACACCAGACCTCTTAAGCAGCTTTAAAAGGGAAAAGGGAGTCTAACAAACATTAAATAATTGAGATTTTATATCATTCCAAATTCACAACTAAAATTAATCATTATGTGTACACAGTATTTTACATGATTATCCTTAATGTGCATATACAACTTGGCTTTCATATTCTTTTTATTCTTTTTAAAATTTTTATTTTCATTTGACAGAGAGGAGTGTCTTACTGTGTTGGCCAGTCTGGTCTCAAAGTCCTGGCCTCAAGCGATCCTCCTGCCTCAGCCTCCCAAAGTGGTGGGTTTACAGATGTGCTTTCATATTCTTTAAGTGACTTTATATGGAAAAACTAGTTCAAATATTATTATTTTAGTGGTTAATAACATTCTGTTCTGTTGACATCATTTGTTTAGCTATAGGGAATTACTTGTGTGATATTGTGATTTATAATAGGAAATATTTGGTCTTCTTGCTCTTTGCTGGCACACAATTCCTAAAGCCCTTGGAATCTCCAAGGTGTCTTTTTGTATTCTAATGAGATGACAAGTGGTTGGGAGCTCCTGGATAGCCTCAGGATGGGGGCTGGTTACCAAGGCAACCAACCATATGATCAGAGGGTTGGAACTTTTATTCCTACCACCTTACCTCCAGGTAGGGGACAGCAGGTGAAGGTTGAGTTTATCACCAATGGCCAGTGGTTTAATCAATCATGTCTATATAATGACGCCTTCATCAAAACCCAAAAGGACCTGATTGAGGAGTTTCCAAATAGCTGAACACATGGTGATTCCTGTAGGGTGGTGCACCTGGAGAGGGTGTGGAAACTCCACGCCTTTTCCCATATAACTTACCCCATGCATCTCTTCTATTTGGCTGTTCATCTTTTTTTTTTTTTTTTTTTTTTTTTTAATTTTTGTTCTTTTTTTGTCTTTTTAAAAAATTTTTATTATTTTTATTTGGCTATTCATCTATATCCTTTGTAATATCCTTTATAATAAACAGTAAATGTGAGTAAAGTATTTCTCTGACTTCTGTGAGGTGCTCTAGCAAATTAAACCAAAGGAGAGGGTAGAGTGGGGACCCTGATTTATAGCCAGTTTGTCAGAAGCACAGACCATAACCTAGGGCTTGAGATTGGCATCTGAAGTAGGTGCAGTCTTGTGGGACTGAGCCTTTAATCTGTGGGACCTGACACTATATCCAGGTAGATAGTGTCACAGTTGAACTGAATGGAATTAGGGGACACCCAGTTGATGTCCTCTGCAGAATTGCTTGGTTGGTGTATGGGGAAATACCCCTCCACATCTGTTTTTAGAAGTGTTGAGTGGTGAGTGAAAGGAGGAAAAAGTAGATTTTTTTCCTATATCTCAGAGAGCTTATTTCCATTTTTCCTACTAGCTGTGTTTAAGTGCCCTTGGTCTGGCCAGTGTCTATGGCTGCACTTGCTTTTAAGGAATACGTGGGAGGTGGCACACAAGCAGAAGCAAATGTATTCTTACAGAAGCTTCTGCATCAGTTCTCTGTTTCGTCTTTTACCCGTTTTACCTGGGTACACCGAACCACATGGGACCCCTTAATCAGGTGTCCTTCCATGTTTTCCATTTCCTGGTCCGTGCTGTCGTCCTCTACATTTTGGATTTCATGATAGAGGCAAGAGTGAGCCACAGAGGAAGAGAGCCTTGACTGCTACCAAGAGAAGTTGTTAGCCTTCCTCTTGAGATGGGGTGCAGTCCCATTGTGACATTCTGTCTTTGAGGGGTGAAGAGAGCACTTATCTGAGGTTAGGGGGCATGAAATAGGGAGCGTACTTGGTCTGAAGTTGGGATGAGCAACTGTATAAAATTCACTTCACTTCTTTTTGGGTTATTTCCACTGGGGAGACAGAATTGCTAGCCCAAAAGAAATCAAGTTTTATGGTGTATATGTTGCTAGTTTGTTTTCCATAAAAAATAGTTTTATAATATCAGCAACATGTGAGTGTAACCTAATTGGCCACAATCCTTTGAAACCATCAAAACACTATTTTGTATTATTTTTTGCTGGTATAACGTGTATAATATTACTTCAGTTTCCTTAAGTAATTCTTTTAAATTTTTAGCTTTATTCACTAGCATACATTTCATGCATTTAAATGTACAATTCAGTGAATTTTGGAATACTCACAGAGCTTTGCAACTGTCACCTCAGTTTTTTAATTTTTTATTTAAAAACAAATTTATTGACAAATAAAAATTGTTGCCAGGCATGGTGGCTCACGCCTGTAATCCCAGCACTTTGGGAGGCCAAGGCCAGCAGATCAACGAGGTCAGGAGTTCGAGACCAGCCTGGCCAATATGGCGAAACTCCGTCTCTACTAAAAATACAAAAATTAGCCGGGTGTGGTGGTGCGTGCCTGTAGTCCCAGCTATGCGGGAGGCTGAGGCAGAATAATCGCTTGAACCCAGGAAGTGGAGGTTGCACTGAGCCCAGATCATACCACTACACTCCAGCCTGGGTGACAGAGACTCCATCTCAAAAAAAAAAAAAATTTTTTTTATGGTGTACAACATGATGTTTTGAAATGTTTACAGGCCAGGCGTGGTGGCTCATGCCAGTAATCCCAGCACTTTGAGAGGCTGCGGGCAGTACACGTGAGGTTGGGAGTTCGAGACCAGCCTGACCAACATGGAGAAACCACATCTCTACTAAAAATACAAAAGTAGCCAGGCATGTTGGCACATGCCTCTAATCCCAGCTACTCGGGAGGCTGAGGCAGGAGAATCGCTTGAACCCAGGAGGCAGAGGTTGCAGTGAGCCTAGATCGCGTCATTGTACTCCAGCCTGGGCAAAGAGAGCGAAACTCCATGTCAAAAAAAAGAAAAAGAAAAAAGAAATATGTTTATATTGTGCAGTGGCTATATCATGCTAACATGCTAATTAACATGGATTATATCACATACTTATTGTTTGTGGTGAGAACACTTAGAATCTACCCTTATGGCAAGTTTCTTTTTTTCTTTTCTTTTCTTTTTTTTTTTTGAGACGGAGTTTCGCTCTTGTTGCCCAGGCTGGATGGAGTACAGTGGTGCAATCTTGGCTCACTGCAACCTCCACCTCCCGAGTTCAATTGATTCTCCTGCCTCAGCCTCCTGAGTAGCTGGGATTACAGGCACCCGCCATCATGCCTGGCTAATTTTTGTATTTTTGCAGAGATGGGGTTTCACCATGTTGGCCAGGCTGTTCTTGAACTCCTGACCTCAAGTGATCTGCCCGCCTCAGCCTCCCAAAGTGCTAGGATTATAGGCCTGAGCCACCGTTCCCAGCCAGTGACAATTTTCAAGTATACAATACATTGTTAGCCACTGTTCCCAGCCAGTGGCAATTTTCAAGTATATAATACATTGTTATTAACTATAGTCACTATGTTGTTTCAGGTCTTATGTTTAAGTCTTGAATGTATTTTGAGTTGATTTTTATGTATTGTGTGCAATATATTACTCATTATATGCTTTTAGTCATTGGGTAAATTAGTAGAGTGGTTTGACATTATTGGATAAAATTATCTTAATGTTTTCTTTTTTCAGCGTTGTAGAATGAATGAAGACACTGGCACTGATTATATAACACCTTGGCAGCTATCTCAAGTCGTTGATGGAGGAGGTATTGGAATTATAGAAGAAAGCAAACACACAAATTTGACTAAAGGCGATTTTGTGACTTCTTTCTATTGGCCCTGGCAAACCAAGGTTATTCTGGATGGAAATAGCCTTGAAAAGGTGATATATATATGAACATATCTGATTTTTTTTCCCCGTATAATTCTTACTTTGTGCATTTGATATTCAGTTGTGTTTGTAATCAGGGAAAAATAAAAGCATATATTTTCTTTTAGCTAGCTGCCAAAATGTGGAAAGCCTTTGTTCCTTTTCCACTGTTAGCTGTGTAGGGAAGTTTAAATTGTCCTTCTGAAGGTTTGATAATTGAGCCTGCTAAAATAAACTGACAATAAACAGATTAACAGGAGAAAAACCATTTTAATTCATGTATGTGCACTGGAGCCTCACAGAAGAATAGGAGACTCAAAGGAGGGACCAGATGGTTGAAGGTGTTCTTTATTTGTTTCTTTGCTTGTTTGTTTGTTTTAGAGATGGGTTGTCACTGTGTTGCCCCGGCTGGTCTCAAACTCCTAGGCTCAAGCAATCCTCCCACCTCAGCCTCCCAAAGTGCTGAGATTACAGGTGTGAGCTTGAAGTTTTTATAGCTAAAGGAATGGGGCTTGAGGTTTTTGGGGGAAATGGCAACAAAAAGGGAAAGGGGAGGAATTGCATGGTAAACAAAGGTTATCTTATTGTAGATAAAGTCTCTCAGGTAATAAAAGTTGTTTCAGAGCAGCTGCCAAAAGAATAGGTAATAGCCTGACTGGGTCTGCTAATGACTTTATTTATTTAGAGACGGCGTCTCACTCTGTCACCCAGGCTGGAGTGATCTTGGCTCACTGCAACCTCTGCCTCCTGGGTTCAAGTGATCTTCCCACCTCAGTCTCCCGAGTAGCTGGGATTATAGGTGTGCACCACCACGCCCAGCTAATTTTTTTTATTTTTAGTAGAGATGGGGTTTTGCCATGTTGGCCAGGCTGTTCTCAAACTCCTGACCTCAAGTGATCTGTCTGTCTTGGTCTCCCAAAGTGCTGGGATTACAGGCGTGAGTCACTGCACCCAGCCATTTTTATTAAACTTGTTGTAGAAACAAGAGTCTTACCATGTTGCCCAGGCTGGTCTTGAACTCCTGGCCTCAACCGATCCTCCCGCCTCAGCCCCACAAAGTGCTGGGATTACAGGTGTGAACCACTGTGCCCAGCCTTAATGGTACATTTTAAGCATTAGTAATGAGAACTGTTGGAGTTTGAGTTGATTTTTTTTTTTTTCAAGACAGAGTCTTGCTCTGTTGCCCAGGCTGGAGCGCAGTGGCGCGATCTCGGCTCACTTCAACCTCTGCCACCTGGGTTCAAGCGATTCTCCTGCCTCAGCCACCTGGGTAGCTGGGATTACAGGCGTCTACCACCATGGCTGGCTAATTTTTGTATTTTTAGTAGAGATGGGATTTCAGCATCTTGGCCAGGGTGGTGTTGAATGCCTGACCTCATGATCCACCCGCCTTGGCCTCCCAAAGTGCTGGGATTACAGGCGTGAGCCACTGTACCCGGCCTGAGTTGATATTTATAGGTACATGTTTATGTTGGAATTGCTCAGAGACTTAAAGATCTTCCATTGTTGCCAAGTATTTTTCTGTTAAGCACTTCCTTTTTTTTTTTTTTTCCCATACTTGGGGCATTAACAAGAAAGAATATTTTGTCTCTTACATGGGAAATTTTTTAAAAGTTTCTTTTTTTTTTTTTTTTTTTGAGATGGAGTCTTGCTTTGTCGCCCAGGCTGGAGTGCAGTGGCACAATCTTGGCTCACTGCAACCTCCACCTCCCAGGTTCAAACAATTCTCTGCCTCAGCCTTCTGAGTAGCTGGGTTTTGGGCACCCACCACCACACCTGGCTAATTTTTTGTATTTTTAGTAGAGACGGGGTTTCACCATTTTGGCCAGGCTGGTCTTGAACTCCTGACCACATGATCCACCCACCTCAGCCTCCTTAAGTACTGGGATTACAGGCGTGAGCCACCGCACCCGGCCTTAAAGTTTCTTTAATATAAAGAGAAGTAATATTGTTTTTTACTCTTTACAAATAAAGTATAGAATTTTAGCAAGACTGATGAATGGTTTACTCTTCTATAAACCATATTGGGTTATTTATTATACTGATGGACTGCCATAACAGAGTACTACAGGCTGGGTGGTTTAAACAACAGAAATTTATTTTCTCACAGTTCTGGAAGCTAAAAGTCCAAGATCAGAGTTCTGGAAAATTTGGTTTCTGGTGAGGCCCCTCCTCCTGGATTGCAGATGGCTGCCTTCTTGCTGTGTCCTCAGGCAGTCTTTCCTCTGTGGGTGTGCAGAGAGATAGATCTTGTTTCTTCTTCTTCTAAGGACATAAGTCCTTTTTTTTTTTTTTTTGAGATGAAGTCTAACTCTGTCGCCCAGGCTGGAGTGCAGTGGCATGATCTCAGCTCACTGCAACCTCCTGGGTTCAAGCGATTCTCCTGCCTCAGCCTCCTGAGTAGCTGGGATTACAGGCGCATGCCACCATGCCTTGCTAATTTTTTGTATTTTTAGTAGAGATGGGGTTTCGCCATGTTGGCTAGGCTGGTCTCGAACTCCTGGTCTCAGGTGATCCGCCTGCCTCGGTCTCCCAAAGTGCTGGGATTACAGATGTGAGCCACTGTGCCCGGCCTGGACACAAGTCTTGTTGGACTAGGACCCCACCTTTATGTCCTCATTCAATCCTAAATGTCTCCTTTAAGTGCCTATCTCCAAATAAAGTCACACTGGGGCTTAGGGCTTTACTATATAAATGTTGTGGGGACGCAATTCAGTCCATAACACGTTGTCTCTACTTTGTTGTCTCAAAACAGGAATTCCTAGTATTTTTAAAGGGTATATATTTTATTTTAGGTAGACCCACAACTTGTGGATGGACACCTTTCATATTTTCTTGGAGCTATAGGTATGCCTGGTTTGACTTCCTTGATTGGGATACAGGAAAAAGGTCATATAACTGCTGGATCTAATAAGACAATGGTTGTCAGTGGGGCCGCAGGTGCCTGTGGATCTGTGGCTGGGCAGGTAAACTTTCTGAGAATTATTTGATTTTCTGATTATTTGACGATTGTTATAATTCTTAATTGAAATTCCGGATATATGTATACCATTAAAAATATAAAATTGGATAAATTTTTTTTTTCTTTTTTGAGACAGAGTCTCCAGGCTGGAGTGCAGTGGCGCAATCTTGGCTCACTGCAACCTCCGCCTCCTGGGTTCAAGAGATTCTCATGCCTTAGCCTCTAGAGTAGCTGGGACTACAGGTGTGTGCCACCACACCTGGCTAATTTTTGTATTTTTAGTAGAGATGGGGTTTTGCCATGTTGGCCAGGCTGTTCTCGAACTCCTGGCCTCAAGAGATCCACCTGCTTCGGCCTCCCAAAGTTCTGGGATTATAGGTGTGAGCTACCACGCCCAGCCAAAATTGACTAAATTTATAATGACTTTCACACGTTTCTTGTAGAAATGGTTTTTTTTTTTTACCTACTTAGACTCTCTTACTAACAGTATGAAAAATGTAGATTTTAGTGTCTTATTCTCTGTTAACCAAAAGGAGATATAGTAAATGCTAAAGCTTTGCTTTCATTATTATAAGGAAGAGAATGATAGAGAAGCTGTTTGGAATTGCATGAATTAAAAGTCAAACTCACATTTTAAATTAATATCCTCAAATAAGAAACCACTTATTGAATTCTAGAAGTGTAAACATTTTGATAGAATTTTATGAAGTCGGCCTGGCACAGTGGCTCATGCCTGCAATCCCAGTGCTTTGGGAGGCCAACTTGGCAGGATTACTTGAGGAAAGGAGCACAAGACCAGCCTGGGCAACATAGTAAGACTCTTCAGTAAATAAATTAGCCCAGCGTGGTGGCACGCCTGTTGTCCTAACTACTTGAGAGGCTGAGGCAGGAAGAGTACTTCAGCCCAGGAGTTTGAAGTTACAGTGAGCTATGATTGCACCACTGTACTCCAGCCTGGGTGACAGACCCTGTTTCTTTAAAAAAACAAAAAAAGAATCTTATAAAAGTACATCCTTTTATAAATAATAGCCTTTATAGGTTGAAACCATTGAAAACAAACATTGTGTCCGAGCTGTGATTTTAGTTCGCCACAAGCTTGAAAAATAATGAATTGCACGTGATGTTTTGGGTCTGATTATTTATTCCTTTTATGAAATCAGATTTAATTTGCGAAATTTTATTTTTTTAAATTTAATTATTATTCTTTGATTTTATATTTTTCAATGAGTGAAAGCCAAAAATTGTGAGATTTTAACATTTAAACTACCTATGGTCCCCAACTTATGATGGTTCTACTTTACAGTGATGCAAAAGCCCTATGCATTCAGTGGAAGCCATACTTTGAATTTTGAATTTTGGTCTTTTCCCAGGCTAGCGATATCAGTATGACACTCTCTCGAGATGCTGGGCAGCGGCAACAAGCTGTAGCTCCTGGTCAGCCACCGTATGTGGCTGAACAACTCCGTGAATCATGCCCAGCTGGAGTGGATGTTTATTTTGACAATGACCATAAGGGTAAACAACTGGTACTCTACGGTGTACTGTGTTGCCAGATGATTTTGCCCAGCCATAAGTGTTCTGAGCATGTTTTAGGTAGGCTAGGCTAAGCTATGATGTTCAGTAGGTTAGGTATATTAAATGCATTTTTTGCTTAGGATATTTTCAACTAATGATGGTTTTATTGGGACATATCCCTATCATAAGTTGAGGAACATAAGTCTACCTTTGTTCAATTTTAATAATTTTTTTTTAGGATGACATTGTCTGCCCTCAGTTCTTTTAGTTTCAAATTACTTTTCATTAAAAGCAGCGTAATCTAACCTTAATTGTAATGAACACTGTCATATACCTGTAATATCTTGTATACTGGTACATTTTTACATTTAAATGTGACAATATAAAGCCATTTAATCTTCAAATTTCCCCCCTAGATTGGCCATTTCTTAGGTTGTTCCAGAGTGGTGGGAATTTGTGGAACACATGAGAAATGCATCCTCTTGACCTCAGAACTGGGCTTTGATGCTGCAATTAATTATAAAAAAGACAATGTGGCAGAACAGCTCCGTGAATCATGCCCAGCTGGAGTGGATGTTTATTTTGACAATGTTGGTGGTAACATCAGTGATACAGTGATAAGTCAGGTTGTTTGCTGATTTCTATAACAAATTTGAATACTGCACTTTATATGTTGTGATATCTTTTTACCTAATACTGAGAAAAAAATTTATAAAATTGGAGGGATTATTGTGACTTAATGTGATGATCAGTATTGTATTTAAGTGATACAAAAGAGCTTGCTGATACCTACTTCCATTTACTTGCAGATTTGTACTATGAACTTCAATTTCAGTTATTTGCTACCAATATTATATTTTTCACTTTTGGTTTATTTTTGTGAAAAATTACAGTTGCATTGTTGAAATGCTGAAGCACTGATCCCTAACTCACCACTGACCAACTCACAGCCAT
This sequence comes from Homo sapiens, assembly GCF_000001405.40. Classification (NCBI taxonomy): domain Eukaryota; kingdom Metazoa; phylum Chordata; class Mammalia; order Primates; family Hominidae; genus Homo; species Homo sapiens. The sequence continues at coordinate 73,879,634 of NC_000014.9, forward strand.
GGCCCCAGACCTATGGGTTTCATAGGCTGCATGTATTTATGCATATTTACTAACAATATTATAAAATATCAACATGAGGTATTAACACTACATAGTCCTTTGCTGCATCTAAAATTATTTGCAGTTGAGATTATTAAATTGTTTAAATCCAAAAAAATACAGTTCTACCACTAATAAGTAGCAACAACAACTAATGTAATTCTTTTGCTGATTACCAACCATTTATTTGCCTTGGTGTTCCTTTGGAATGTAATTATTTCTAGCTAGTTAAAATTCTTAAATACCTCTAACAGGTAAATTAAAAAAAAAATCGAACTAGTTGACAGAAAGGATTAAATAGTCAAGGAGGCTTCCATTATGGCAGCCATAAAATCAGTAAACATAGGAAAGGGATATTTTATCATTATTTTTCTCTGTGCAGATGAATGAGAACAGCCACATCATCCTGTGTGGTCAAATTTCTCAGTACAACAAAGATGTGCCTTATCCTCCCCCGCTATCCCCTGCTATAGAGGCAATCCAGAAAGAAAGAAACATCACAAGGTGTGTTCTTCCTCTTTGCCCTTATTACCAGGTTCATGGGGTTTTAAATATCATAGATGTGTATGAAATCTATTGTTCTTCATAGACACTTTTTCTTTATTAAATAAAACTTTAGGTCGGGCATAGTGGCTTATGCCTGTAATCCTAGCACTTTGGGATGCCGAGACGGGTGGATTGCTTGAGGCCAGGAGTTCAAAACTAGCCTGGCCAACATGGTGAAACCCCTTCTCTACTAAAAATACAAAAAAATTAGCCGGGTGTAGTGATGGGCGCCTGTAATCCCAGCTACTTGGGAGGCTGAGGCAGGAGAATCACTTGAACCTGGGAGGTGGAGGTTGCAGTGAGCCAAAATCATGCCACTGCACTCCATCCAGCCTGGGCAATGAAAACGAAACTCCATCTCAAAAAAACAAAAAAAAAAAAACAAAAAAAAACCTTTAAAATACACATTTTTTAAGCTGGTTCAATATTTAGGTTCTGGCTAACTAGCTACCTGAAAACTGATAGTTATTGGCTTTGACTGGCCTGGGTTAAGTCACATGAGGGTCGAGAAAGGATGCTACCCACAAAGGAAAAATTCACGGTGCTATTAACAAATGGGGTTGTAGATACTGGGCAGACAAAAATTATTATTATTTGAGATGGAGTCTCGCTCAGCCGCCCAGGCTGGAGTAAAGTGGCGCGATCGCAGCTCACTAAAACCACCGTCTCCCAGGTTCAAGCGATTCTCCTGTCTCAGCCTCCCGAGTAGCTGGGACTACAGGCGCTCACTACCATGCCCGGCTAATTTTTTTGTATTTTTAGTAGAGACGGGGGTTTCACCGTGTTGGCCAGGCTGGTCTTGAAAAATTATTAATAGAAGTCTACATTTACACCTGTAACTATGCATAAAACTATCTGATCAGACTCAATGTGTTATGTCCTAATATTTTAAGGATTAACAGATATTAGAATTCTGGAATGGTTTGATCTTGGAATACCACTCCCGTTATATTCTCTGATCATTATCCTTTTCTTCCTCACTGCAGGGAAAGATTTCTGGTATTAAATTATAAAGACAAATTTGAGCCTGGCATTCTACAGCTGAGTCAGTGGTTTAAAGAAGGAAAGCTAAAGGTAGAACTTCTATTCTTTATCAATATAATTCTTCCTGCTACTTGATATAATTTTGCATTATTTAAATGTACTATAGCAAACATACTAGTTTCATTATAAAAATTCCTACAAAAGAAAAGTATGCTGAATATTATAAATTAACTCTACCTCCCAGGTGAGTATAACCTCCTGATCAACAAACCCTTGCTTGTTATTCCCTTTATCTAAAATTTTTTAGCTTTACTTTCCATAGATTATATTACAAAATCATTAGGTTTTCCCCCAAATGTAAAATTATGTTTATTAATTTAACAAATATTTATGGGATGCTACTATGTGTTAGAAGCTGTGCTTTCTCAAAAATAATGTGAGCACCTCCTGATGCTTATACCACCATACTTCTTCCCTGTCCTCCCTGGACATTCTAATGTATGTCTTAGTTGTTGATCGAAAATCAGGAGTTATTAATCTGGGCTTCAGACATACTGGCCTAGGCTATTCTTTTTTTTTTTTTTTTTTTTTTTTTTTTTGAGACGGAGTCTCACTTTGTCACCCAGGCTGTAGTGCAGTGGCGCAATCTCGGCTCACTGCAACCTCCGCCTCCTAGGTTCAAGCAATTATTCTGCTTCAGCCTCCCGAGTAGCTGGGATTACAGGCACATGCCACTCGCTCAGCTAATTTTTGTATTTTTAGTAGAGATGGGGTTTCACCATGTTGGCCAGGCTGGTCTCAAACTCCTGACCTCAAGTGTTCTGCCCATCCAGCCTCCCAAAGTGCTGGGATTACAGTTGTGAACCAGTGCACCTGGACTGGCCTAGGCTATTCTTGAAACCTGCAAATGATAAGCAAAGTTGTACCTTTGTGTGCTTCTGTACTGTTCTTTTTCTGTTTTAGAGTGTATAGCTTGTGATCTGTTACTAATTGAAGAGATTAAACAATGGGAAAATAGGATATTACTTTAAAAAATCAATTGATAGGAAGCTTTTCTGGGCTACCTACATGAAATAAAGAATATCTATTTTTAGACAAAGTGCTAAATAGTATTGCTGGCTTTTGTAAGTATGGAAACTATCATATAGAAACATTGAAGTTTAAAGACTATTAAATCTAGCTATTTTGATTTACAGATTAAAGAGACGGTAATAAATGGGTTGGAAAACATGGGAGGTAAGATGAATGTAGACTTATTATATACACATGCTCAGCACACAAAGATAAAGTCTCTTTATTTTTATTTATTTATTTTTGAGACGGAGTCTTGCTCTGTTGCCCAGGCTGGAGTGTAGTGGCATGATCTCAGCTCACTGCAAGCTCCGCCTTCCAGGCTCACGCCATTCTCCTGCCTCAGCCTCCCAAGTAGCTGGGACTACAGGCGCCTGCCACCACGCCTGGCTAATTTTTTGTATTTTTAGTAGAGACGGGGTTTCACTGTCTTAGCCAGGATGGTATCGATCTCCTGACCTCGTGATCTGCCTGCCTTGGCCTCCCAAAGTGCTGGGATTACAAGCGTGAGCCACCACGCCTGGCCCTTTTTTTTTTTTTTTTTTTTTTTTTTTTTTTTTTTTTTGAGACGGAGTCTTGCTCTGTCTCCCAGGCTGGAGTGCAGTGGTATGATCTTGGCTCACTGCAACCTCCACCTCCCGAGATCAAGCAATTCTCCTGCCTCAGTCTACCAAGTAGCTGGGACTACAGGCGTGCACTGGTATGCCTGGCTAATTTTTGTATTTTTAGTAGAGACAGGGTTTCAACATATTGGCCAGGCTGGTCTTGAACTCCTGAATTCAAGTGATTTGCCTGCCTCGGCCTCTCAAAGTGCTGGGATTACAGGCGTGAGCCACCGCACAGGCCAAAGTCTTTTATCTTTTAATGCTACCTCTCTGGCCTCCCCTTCCCTGCCCTTCCCTCCCCTCACCTCCCTTTTTTTTTTTTTTTTTTTTTTTTTTTTTTTTAAAGAGATGATCTTGCTCTGTTGCCCAGGCTGGAGTGCAGTGGCATGATCATAGCTAACTGTAACTTATGAACCCATGGGCTCAAGCAATCCTCTCACCAGAGTAGCTGGTACTACAATTACCTGCCACTATGCCCAACCTTTTTTTTTTTTTTAATTTTCCATAGAAACAGGGTCTCACTATATTGTCCAGGCAACTCCTGGCCTCAAATGATCCTTCTGCCTCAGCCTCCCAAAGTGCTGGAATTTACAGGTGTGAGTGCCTAGCCCTTTTTTTAATTTTTGAGACAGGGCCATGCTCTGTCACCCGGGCTGGAGTGCAGTGGTGCGATCATGGCTCACTGCAGCCTCTACCTCCCAGGTTCAGGTGATGCTCCCACCTTAGCCCCCCGAGTAGCTGGGACTACAGGCACACACCACCACTCCCAGCTGATTTTTGTATTTTTAGTAGAGATGGGGTTTCACCATGTTGGTCAGGCTGGTCTTAAACTCCTGACTTCAAGTGATCCACCCACCTTGGCCTCCCAAAGTGCTGGGATTACAGTCGTGAGGCCCCATGCCCGGCCTTCACTCACATTTTATTCCCATTTTTTTTTGCCTCTAGTCTTCAGATACTGTAAACAATGAACATTGATGTGCATACCAGTTAGATACCAATTAAATCTTTCCAGTATGGGCAAAACATTTTTTTAAGATGTTAATTGGGTTAGTTTGTGTGTAACTTTTTACTTGAGATTTCTTTTCATGACCATTTTCTTCTATGCTTAATATTCAAAATCATTGAAAAAGTTATTTAACATAATTTTATATGTTGTACCTTTTGGAAACAAGTATGATAGTGACATTTATCTTTTCAGATAACCTACTTTCTCTTTTTCCAGCTGCATTCCAGTCCATGATGACAGGAGGTAACATTGGAAAGCAGATAGTTTGCATTTCAGAAGAAATCTCTTTGTAATTGCTGTAAATGTCATCAAGGCAATCATAGATTTCTTTTCCATTTTGCATATTTTCAAAGATATGTTAAAAAATCCTTAGACTATACATAGCTCTTGATTTAAATGTGATCATAGGTGTTATTTTTAGTTGCATAGGGTATTTGATACAATCATTAATGGATCATACACAATAGGTTTTTAAAAATTAATAACTTTTAGTAATTACTTTTATTAATTTAAAATAGAACGCTTGAGAGGCACTTTGTAAAGATTTGTTAAACTGGAAACGTTTTACATGATCTGATACAACCATTAATGAATCATACACAATAGGTTTTTTAAAATTAATATTAATAACTTTTATTAATTTAAAATAGAATGCTTAAAATAAAATAGAATGCTTGAGAGGCACTGAGTAAAGATTTGTTGAACTGGAAATGTTTTACATGATTCTTAAACTGAAACTTGGTGTAAAAATAGAATTGAGATGGCCTTTTTTTCACATTGTAGACTGAAAAGAGACTTAATGGTATGATGTGTACATAGGGACTGGGGGCAGGATTGGGGGTTTCGGAGCTTGTGTAACAGTTTTTGGGATAGGAGACCAGCGGTTTTGGGTTGGGATTAGTATGGGAAGATAAATAACTTAGGTTGGTTAAGTTGACAAGATTTACTCCAGAGGATCATCTCTTTGTATTTGCCAAATAATTTACTGTATAGCCTAAAAACTCCATATATATTGAGAAAAGCATATGTTTATTTTAGGTTAGCAGGCACATACTGTCAAGTTGTAAAGATTGAGAGGGCAAACAGATGTAAACATCACTTGTAGGTGATTAAAAAGATTGACAGCCGGGCCTGATGTCTCAAGCCTGTAATCCTAGCACTTTGGGAGGCAGAGGCGGGCAGATCACTTGAGGTCAGGAGTTCAAGACCAGCCTGGCCAACACGGTGAAACCCCATCTCTCTAAAAATACAAAAATTAGCTGGGCGTGGTGGCACACGCCTGTAATCCCAGCTACTCAGGAGGCTGAGGCTGGAGAATCATTTGAACCTGGGAGGGGGAGGTTGCCGTGAGCTGAGCTTGCACCATTGCACTCCAGCCTGGGCGACAAGAGTGAAATTCCATCTCAAAAAACAAAAACAGATTGACAACAAAGACAGTTTCAGAAAATGACAGGACTGGGCAAATTAACAAATGTTTGTAAACATGAATGTTCAGGAACTACTGATGTACCTCAAAAGTTTGTTTTATTAATTGTACTCAACCCTCGCAGAACAGTAAAACTGAAGATTATTGTTTCTGAATGTTTTGGCTTATGATTGTCTACACACTGCCAATATACTTTTGTATGCAACATTTGTAATAAGTAGATTCAAACTGTGTTGGTAATCAGCCTCCCCAGTTTTCGTGAGTGGCCCTTTTTTGTTACTTTTCCTGGACCATTTCATCGCCTGAGGGGGTTTCACTTTTCTCTGTATGTTGCTAACTCCCAAATCTCCATCTGTATTTCTGACCTCTTTCTTGAGCACTGGACCTTTACCTCCAAGTAAATATCCTCAACTCTGGATTGCATCTTATACTCTGCTTTTTTCTTTTCTTTTCTTTTTTGAGATGGAGTCTTGCTCAGTCGCCCGGCGTGCAGCGGCACGATCTCGGCTCACTGCAACCTCCGCCTCCCGGGTTCAAGCGATTCTCCTGCCTCAGCCTCCCGAGTAGCTAGGATTACAGGCGCGTGCCACCACGCCCGGCTAATTTTTGTGTTTTTAGTAGAGACGGGTTTTCACGGCGTTACCCAGGATGGTCTCGATCTCCTGACCTCGTGATCCGCCCACCTTAGCCTCCCAAAGTGCTGGGATTAAAGGCGTGAGCCACGGAGTCCGGCCTACTCTGCTTTTCTAAAGTGGAATTATCTTCCTCTGAAATGTTTCTCCTTTATTTTAAATCACCATTAGTAATTTGTGTACCCAAACCTGTCATCAAGGCTTATCTTTAACCTTGAAAATGCCTTTTTAAAGAGAACTCCTTTAATTCCCACGGTTGAGTCTCTCATTCTTCCGCACGCAAATATTTTAAAATAAGTAATTTCAAGAAGTCAGTCAAACTCACAAAGCTTTAACAAGGTGGCATCCAGCTTGGAAGTCAAGTGTTCAAGCCCGCAGTCGGGACATCCAAGAGCTCTTTACATCCTAATTACAACACGGAACCCAGACTCACTGCATACCCCGTCCCGTATATAATGCAAAACTTGATTCTGCAAGTTCCTTTCTCGGGCGGTGAAACTTCGAAGGTCCTCTCCATGGAGACCTTTGATAAATGTTTAAGCAGTGATCTTTTCTTTCGCGTTTGCCTCCATTGCAACGCCTCCGCTGATGGGAAAAACTACTCCCTCCGCTACTGCGGGGTGGCAGTGACGTCAACGAATTAGCTGACCTGTTTTTTCGGGCTTCGCGGACATAGGAGTCCCGAAGGCCGAGAGTGAGTGAGTGAGTGGGAGCGGGGCGGCTGCGGCTCCTCCTGTCCGGGGCGGAGCCCTGCGTCGCGGGCCTGGGGAGGCCCCGCCAGCACCCTTGACGTCTGGGTCCCGAGCAGTGCGGCAGCCACACGACACTGAGGCGAGCGAGTGGGTGTGTGCGTGGGGGGTCAGCCAAACTTCCTGTCCCGCGCTCGAGCTGCTTCCGGCGGGAGCCGGAAGACGCTGTGTGTGGACGGAATTCGGGACCGACTGACGGCCGGCCGGCTTCCCGGAACTGGAAGGTGAGCTCCGAGGTGGGCCTGGCCACCCCTCCTCGGTTAGGTAGTACCCGAGAGGGCGGGGGCCAGTACCGGCTACTTGGGGCCTGGGGCCGAGTTCGCCCCGAGAGAGGAAACCGCCCTCCTTGGGCATCCCTCCTGGATCTGGCGGGCCCGGGAGCGGCCAGTCTGAAGCCCTGCGGCTTTGGCCCTTCCCCTCGCGGGTTTTTAGGGGCGATGTTCTTGCTCCTTTGCTTGGTTTTGGGGGTAGGGATATAGGAACAGACTGTCCTGAGAAAGCCAGAGTCAGCGAGTCCCCGGGGCGGGGGCTCTTGGACTGCACCCGCAGCCGGGGCCTGCCTACGGACCTTGGGGCCTTATTTCTGAGGCCTTTGTGGTGTGGGGTAGAGGATGCCAGGAGGCCTTGCCCTGAATGTTTCAGTCCAGAGCTACCCTCTCCTTTCATACCACTTACTTTCTGGGTTTGGAAAAGGGACAGCTGCCTACTCGGCTGGGCTGGGTCGCCCGTTTCTCCTTTGCCTGTCAGTTCGGGGGGCAGGAGTGTGTGGATTGTTTACGGCCTTCATACATTTCGTGTCGAATTTATTTTCTGAAGTTTCTCAAGATAATCCAATTTATTAAAGTTTATCCCACTTGATCATGAGGCTCAGAAATGCATTTAGGCACCATTTGGAAGTTAAATATTATTAACTTGGGACTTAAGAATTAGTACTTAGGTTGGAACGAAGGTCAACGCAGCATATTTGCAATAAATAAAAAACATTTGGAAATAAAGTCGGGCATTTTGTTAGGGAGTGAGAAATTGCACTTGGTTTTTTCTTAGTGTGGTGCAGAGTAAAAGACAACTAAAGTAGCAGTCAGAAGTTTTAAGTTCTAGTTTTTTACGTTTTGCATCTAAGTAGATGTCTAATTTTTGGCAAGTTGCTGAATCTCTAGCTCTGGGGAGTTTTTCTGTAAACGAAGGGGTTTACCTTTAGGGCTATGACAATTTTTCCGAGGCACTGAACTTTGAGTAGAAGTGACATAAGCATTTCTTTGTTTTGGAAAGATAACTTGAATGGCTGCATAAAGGATGTATTGGAAAGAGGAATTTTAAACGCGGGGTGACCAGTTAGAGGCCTGTTTTAATAGTATAGTAGAAAGTTACTGAGAGACCTAAACAGGGCATTACAGTAGGGAACAGAGAACATTCTGGGAACAGAGAATCACGGGAATTATTTAAAAATGGAGAATGAGAGAGATTTAAAGACCTAGAATTTGCAGCTGAGTGGGAGGAAGATTGGGCGATCATTGAAATAGGTAATACAAGAAGAACAGGTTTGGTAAGGAAGATAATAATCTGGATTTTGGACATTGTTAGGTTTGAGATGCTGTTGGATATACATGTGGAGATACCTAGCAAGCAGTTAGAAATGAAGGTTTGGAGTTCAGAAGAGATGACTAGAGAAAAATGTAGGTATCATTTGTAGTGTCATTCATTCATTATACAAATATTTAGTACCTACCAGTTGCTTACTGGGAAGCTTGTATGGAAGCCCTTTAAGCTCATAGTAAACACATTAGAAGTGGGAAGTGACCGTTAATGGGCACAGGGTTTCCTTGTGAGGTGATGAAATATTGTAAAATTGATCGTGGTTCTGCTTGTACAACTCTGAATGAACTAAAGATATTTTAATTGTACTCTTTAAATGAGTCAATAGTATGGTATGTGAACGATATCTTAGTGAAACTAATTTTTAAAAAAGATTTACATTGCAGTTTTGGAAATCTGTTGAGTAAGGAATTGGGAATAGGAATGTTTAATTGTGTATTTGCCGTTACACCTATAGCTAATGTACATAGTACGTTGCTCTGTTAAAGATGAGATCCCCACAGTACACTTGATAAGATACTGAGTGCTCTAGTACAAATTCTTTTGAGTTCAGTTGCATATCTTAATGCATCCTGCTATTTTTTATTTTATTCATACCGTACACATACAAATCATAAACTTGGACACAAAAATTGTATGGTAGTACTTAGTTATAATATGAATACCCAGTGCTTGAGAAAATGCTCGTGTTAATTTTTAAAGATTATTGAAGTGAAAACACTGAAATAAAAAGATGTCATAGATAACATAAAAAGGACAGTAAATAGTTGTCTGGTTCCTCAGAGATTTTACAATCCTGGAATCTCAAAGTTGGAGGAACCTTAAGGATGACTTAAACAACAAACATCTGATAATTTCTTGGCTTGTTAAGACAAGCTGGAATTGGGGAAGAGGAATTCTTGTTTTTTTTGAGACAGCCTCCATTTGTTACCCAGGCTGGAGTGCAGTGGCGTGATCACTGTTCAGTGCAGCCTCGATCTCCTGGGCTAAAGCAATCCTCCTACTCAGCCTCCCTAGTAGCTAGGACCACAGGCATGTGCCACCATGTGATGCTAATTGAAAAATTTTTTTTTGTAGAAATAGAGTCTCACTGGCTGAGATCGCGCCACTGCACTCCAGCCTGCGTGACAGAGCGAGACTCAGTCTCAAAAAAAAAAAAAAAAAAAAAAGAAATAGGGTCTCACTGTGTTGCCTAGGCTGAGAAAAGGAATTCTTAGGCCATGGAGATTCAGGGTCAAACCTAGAGAGATGTAATCACTATTCACGCCAATGATTTCTGCATACTTCTGGTGTGGGTGGGAGTCCTGGCTTTGCAACTTAATAACTTGGTAATTAAGTAATATACTGAGCCTTGGTTCCTTCCTCTCTAAATAGAGGGATGGATAAACCATATGAAACTGTTGCAGTGCTTGAATAAGAAAAATATGTGTGGAAGAAAAGTCAGGGATTTATGATACTTTATGTGGGAAACTTGGAAGGAGCATTTCCATTTATATCTTGTAAATGGTTAGTTTTTTTTTTTTTTTTCTCGACACAGAGTCTTGCTCTGTCGCCCGGGCTGGAGTACAGTGGAGCGATCTCGGCTCACTGCAATCTCCATCTCCTAGGTCCAAGCGATTCCCCTACCTCAGCCTCCTGAGTAGCTGGGTCTGCAGGCACATGCCACCACACCTAGCTAATTTTTTGTATTTTAGTTGAGACGGAGTTGCACCATGTTGGCCAGGATGGTCTCAATCTCCTGACCTTGTGTTCCGCCTGCCTCGGCCTCCCAAAATGCTGGGATTACAGGCGTGAGCCACTGCTCCCGGCCTAAATGGTTACTTTTTTACAATGAAAAATGAGGATTTCAGGTAGCTTAGAAAGAGAGAGGGAGAAACCAACAGGACAAAAAAACATTTATTCAGTTACTTTTTTTTTTTTTTGAGATGGAGTCTTGCTCTGTCGCCCAGGCTGGAGTACAGTGACGCAGTCTCAGCTCACTGCAACCTCCATCTCTCGGGTTCAAGCGATTCTCCTGCCACAGCCTCCCGAGTAGCTGGGATTACAGGCACCCGCCACATGCCCGGCTAATTTTTGTATTTTTAGTAGAGACGGGGTTTCGCCATATTGGCCAGGCTGGTCTTGAACTCCTGACCTCAGGTGACCCACCCGCCTCGGCCTCCCAAAGTGCTGGGTTTACAGGCGTGAGCCACCGTGCCCAGCCTAAGTGCCCTCTTTGTAAAGTCTGTCTTGTTCTACCTTTCCACACTACCTGGTATTAATTGGAAACTTTAAAGTACCCATTGATTGAAAATATACCCATCCTGGATACATTTTACACTGTATGATTATTTGTAATAGTGCTCCCAATTTTAGTAACAATTGTACAAAATAAAATGGACTCACATTCCAAAATCCTGAAAAGAAACTAAGCTATAAGAAAGTAAGAATTTAAGTTATAGGGAGTGGCTGGGCGCAGTGGCTCACACCTGTAATCTCAGCACTTTGGGAGGCCACGGCAGGCGGATCACCTGAAGTTGGGAGTTCGAGACCAGCCTGACCAACATGGAGAAACCGTCTCTACTAAAAATACAAAATTAGCCAGGTGTGGTGTCTCATGCCTGTAATCCCAGCTACTCCAGGAGTCTGAGGCAGAATTGCTTGAACCTGGGAGGCAGAGGTTGTGGTGAGCTGAGATCGTGCCATTGTGCTCCAGCCTGGGCAACAAGAGCAAAACTCCATCTCTAAATAAATAAATAAAAGAGAGAGAACAGCCGCATCAGGGTCCTGAGAGCACTACCTTTGGGAAACGCTCTTCAAATTTTAACTTTTTTTTTTTTAAATGTAATTTTAAAAATTATCAAAACAATATGGTTGCCTTTTAGAAATATTGGAAAATTGAGAAAAGAAAATTAAGTCACACCAGCCTACCACACGGTATAGCTACGGTCATAGCTGTATGAATCTCCTTTTACTTTTTCTGATGCTTATTATAACTAGTTTTAATAATAGCAAGTATATAATTTTGTATTTTATTTTTATAATTTAACATGTCAGTCACTTGTTGTTGCATTGTCTTCATAGCATTTGTTTGTTGGTTTGTTTTTTGAGATAGAGTCTTGCTCTGTCGCCCAGGCTGGAGTGCAGTGGTCTGACCTTGGCTCACTGCAACCTCCACCTCCTGGGTTCAAGGGATTCTCCTGCCTCAGTCTCCCGAGTAGCTGGGATTACAGGTGCCTGCGACCATGCTCAGCTAATTTTTGTATTTTTAGTAGAGAGGGGGTTTCACTATGTTGGCCAGGCTGGTCTCGAACTATTGACCTCAAGTGATCCACCTGCTTCAGCCTATCAAAGTGCTGGGATTACAGTTGTAAGCCACCACACCCAACCCTTCACAGCATATTTTGAAGTGACAGTGCCATATTTAATCAACCATTCCCTAATTGGGGGTGTGTGTGTGTGTATACATTGCTTCCAGTTGTTTATTACATAGGATAAGACGGACATCTTTGGACATAGCTCTATCCATATTTAAGATAGTTTTTTAGATTATTAGAGGTTGAAATACTGCATCAAAGCGTAGTATTTTTATGGGTTTTGATGCCTGTTGAGCTTGTTGTATTTTAAAAGAAGTGTTTCGGTTTGAATTCTTTATTTGCTTGCTTGTTGTGATTTTTTTTGTATATGTAAAGAAGTGTCTTTATGTACCTGTGTTTTCCCACTGCTCTTAATGCCCCCTCTCTCTTTTTTACCCCTATTCTAGGTTACATTGATTACCCACCTAGTACAACATCTTACGGGAAGAGCATAGTATTTCCTAGAGGAATATGAACATAACAGGAAGGTATCATTGGCTCTGAATTAAATTTGAACTTGTCCCCTGAATAGCTACAGGTTTTGGAAGCTGAATCAATGTTATCAGATGAGTTAGAATCCAAACCAGAGGTGAGCCCAGTCAGCTTGTTTCCTTTTCTTTTGGTGGGCTATATTTCAAAGTTTATCTTCAGTTTAGGGGGTCAGCAAACTTTTTCTTTAATGGGCCAGATAATAAATATTTTAGGTTTTTTAAGCTATATGGTTTTGATTGTTACTATTTTTTCAAAGATTTAAAAATTATATTTTTTGTGATTGTTTTTATATCTGTTTTTCAGTATATGTGAAATCATACATTTAGATAATGTAATAAAATCTTATAAATAAAAATATATGTTTATGTATAAATATATACATAAATATGAGATACATGTGATGTATAGGTGTATAAGTATATAAATATTTACTACTACAAATTCTTTTGTTTATTTTATATATATCTGTAAGTATTTTCTTTCTAAATGTGATTGGGGATTTAAACATTTTTTGTTGTTCACTTTTCTTACTTTAAATTTAGCACATCTGTGTTGCAGAGTGGTCACTGAATTTGGAATCAGATTACTTAAATTTGAGGATTGGCATTGCTCCTAACTAGTCTTGTGACCTTAGACAAGTCACTTAATGTCTTCAATTTTATTCCTCAGCTGTAAAATATGCCTTAAGTTTGGGTGCGGTGGCTCACGCCTGTAATCCCAGCACTTTGGGAGGCCGAGGCAGGTGGATCATGAGGTCAGGAGTTCAAGACCATCCTGCCTAACATGGTGAAACCCTGTCTCTACTAAAAATACAAAAAAAATTAGCTGGGCGTGGTGGCGGGCACCTGTAGTCCCAGCTACTTGGGAGGCTGAGGCAGGAGAATGGCGTGAACCCAGGAGGTGGAGCTTGCAGTGAGCCAAGATCATGCCACTGCACTCCAGCCTGGGCAACAGAGCAAGACTCTGTCTCAAAAAAAAATACATCTTAAATCTTACTGGGTTAATGCGATAATTAAATGAGCCAGTACACAGAAAAGTGTTTTGTAAAATGTAATCAATATGATGCAGTTGATTTTTTTTAAGCCATTATTTTAAAATGTAATTATTTTTATCATTTCTCTGTTTGACAGAAGGTGGCAGAGGTTAACTTAATTACAGTGAAGTGTCACTTAGCGATAGAGATACATTCTGAGAAATATGATGGTAGTTGATATCATTATTATGCGAACATGGTAGAGTATACTTACACAAACCTGTATGGTTTAGCCTGCTACACTCTAGGCTGTATGGTATACCTTATTGCCCCTAGGCTGCAAACCTATACAGCATGTTACTGTACTGAATACTGTAGGCAGTTGAAGCACAGTGGTAAACATTGTGTATCTAAACATATCTAAACGTGGAAAAAGTACAATAAAAATAGGATATTACAATCTCACAGGACCATCATCCTATATGTGGTCTGTTAACTGAAATGTCGTTTTGCAGCACATGACTTTATATAAATCAGCTGTTCTCTAGAACAGAGAACTTGATAAAATAACTTTAGATATTATGTTGTTTAGTTTTTGTTTGAATATGGATGAGACTAGTGAACAGTCTTAATATTATCTTTTGGTAAATTCAAAGGTTTAGATACATTTCTAACAACTCGTATTTCTCAGTGTTGTCTTTTCTCCCCCCAGCTCCTGGTACAGTTTGTTCAGAATACGTCCATCCCATTGGGACAGGGGCTTGTAGAATCAGAAGCTAAAGATATTACTTGCTTGTCCCTCCTTCCCGTGACTGAAGCCTCAGAATGCAGTCGGCTAATGTTACCAGGTAAAAATTAAGATCACTAGAAATAGGATAAAGAAGTCTTAAGAGCTTAGCCTACTCTATGTTACTGGTGGAATGAATATATCGTTTAATAACTGACTGGTGGAAACTGTAAAAATTAGGAGTCATGGAGAAAAAGCAACCATGAAATCATTAGTGCATTGGTAGTTTAAGCCATAGGAATGGATATGATCACCCAGAGAGTGTGAGAGTGGGGAAAAAAGGTCAGTGCAAAACTATGGAACTCTTTATTTAAGGTACAGGGTAGGGCAGGAGAACTTGTAAAGGAGGGAAGAAACAAAGACTAAAATAGTTGGATGAACATCAGCAGAGTGGAGGCATGAAACCCAGGAGAAATCATTGTATCAAATGCTACTGACAGGCCCAGTGAAATAGGGACTAAAAGGACTCCATTATTGACTTTGGCAGAACCTGTTCCATGGAGAGAAGAGGATGGAAAGTCAGGCTGCAGTGACTTGAGTATACATACTTGCTTTTTTTTTTTTTTTTGAGATGGAGTGTCACTCTGTCGCCCAGGCTGGAGTGTAGTGACGCAATCTTGGCTCACTGCAACCTCCGCCTCCCCTCCCAGGTTCAAGCTATTCTCCTGCCTCAGCCTCCTAAGTAGCTGGGATTACAGGTGCGTGCCACTATGCCTGGCTAATTTTTGCATTTTTAGTAGAAACGGGGTTTCACCATGTTGGCCAGGCTGGTCTTGAACTCCTGACCTCCAGTGATCAGTCCGCCTTGGCCTCCCAAAGTGCTGAGATTACAGGCGTGAGCCACTGCGCCAGGCCTATCAATACATACTTTCTAAAGTCTCTCCTGGTACGAGAAGGAAAAAGAGAAGGCGGTAAGATAGAGGGAAATTTTTTGTTTGTGTTAAGATCTGAGATATTTGAGGGTTGCTTTATGCTAAGGGGAAAGAACCAGTTAGAAAAGTTGAAGACAGGCCAGGTGTGGTGGCTCGTGCCTGTAATCCCAGCACATTGGGAGGCTGAGGCAGGAGGATAGCTTGAGCCCAGGAGATTGAGACCAGCCTGGGCAACATGGCGAGACCTCGTCTCTACAAAAAATTAAAAATTAGCTGGGCATGGTGGTGTGCAGCTGTAGTCCCAGCTGAGGTGGGAAGATCACTTGAGCCCAGGAGTTTGAGGCTGCAGTAAGCTGTGATCACACCACTGTACTCCATCCTGGGTGGATAGAGCAACACCCTGTCTAAAAGAAATAGTAATAAATTTAAAAAATATATGTATAAACAAACAATAATTAAGGAAATGAAAACAACAGCGTTCATCTTCCCTTAGAATGACTGTTATCTTAAAGATGGAAGATAACAAGTGTTGGTAAGGATATGGAGAAAAGGGAACCTTTGTACACTGTTGGTGGGAATGTAAGTTAGTACAGCCATTATGGAAACCGTATGGAAGTTCCTCAGAAAACTAAAAATGGAGCCACTATATGACCCAGCAATCTCACTTGTAGGTATATATCCAAAGGAATTGAAATCAGTAAGTCAAAGATGTCTATACTTACATGTTAATTGCAGCATTATTCACAATAACCAAGATATGGAATCAGCTTTAGTGTTCATCAACTAATGAATGCATTTAAAAAAAAATGCATTCACCTTCTTTTCCACATTTCTTTTAGTTTTAATTTTGATTTAAAGTATTTTAGACATACAAGTATAGATAAAAGTAAATGAAAATCCAAATACTTGGCCTCCCAGCTCATAAAACACAATATTACAGGCCGGGCGTGGTGGCTCATGCCTATAATCCCAGCACTTTGGGAGGCCGAGGTGGGTGGATCACTTAAGGTCAGGAGTTTGAGACCAGCCTGGCTGGTGAAACCCTCTCTACTAAAAATGCAAAAGTTAACCAGGTGTGGTGGCACAGAAAAAATAACCGCAGCCTGAGATACAACCATAGGTAAAAAGGTAATGGCAAAAACTGCAATAGCTTTTGCACCAACCTAATACAAAAGTTAAGGAGAGGGAGCTCTCTCCAGGAAAAATAAAATGTAGATCCTATTCTTGAGTTAGTATTCATTGTATAGCTATATTTTTCAAGGAGAAAGTACTGATTTCTGGCCTCAAAAAGGACTAAATTCTGTGATGTCCAAATGTTGAATGGTTGGTTATTCACCAACCATTACTGCCAAGTGACAGAGAATTCTGTTCCTCACGTTTTGGCTGACTGCCTTTGGAACATAAAGCCATCTCTCTGTTCTTCTGTGAGACAAAGTTTTTATTTGTGTAATGAGAATGCTGTCTGTTGCTATAAGGATGTTAGCTTCCAAGAGATGTTGGGTGCTGTGTATCAAAATGGTGGGCTCCTAGAGATAGGTGCTACATAAAGCTGTGGTATTTTCCCTTTACTAGATGATACTACAAATCATTCTAACTCCTCCAAGGAGGTCCCTTCCTCAGCTGTTTTGAGAAGCCTTCGGGTGAATGTGGGTCCAGACGGAGAGGAGACGAGAGCTCAGACTGTACAGAAATCCCCGGAGTTTTTGTCCACTTCAGAGTCTTCTAGCTTGTTGCAAGATCTACAGCCAAGTGATAGCACTTCTTTTATTCTTCTTAACCTAACAAGAGCAGGTATTCTTTCCTTTTTTTTGGGCTCTGCTTATGCCTAAGAAAAAAATTAGGGGTGGGGCATATTTAACTTAGTCATACTTAAAATAGAAAGAACCTTTATTATTTTATTATTTTGGAGAATTGGTGTGTCTGGTGACCATTTGAATATGTAGAGGGAGAGGGAGGACTCTAGTATGACTCATATCTTGTTTGGGAAATTATGTAGTGCCATTTACTGAGATCGCACAGGAAGAGCAAGGCTTGGGGGAGGATGATTAGTTCCAATTTGCACCTATTTATGTTGAGATTTTGGAGGTATATTCAGGAGGACATGTCCTTTAGAGAGTTAGAAACATGAATCCAGAGTTCTAGAAAGGTCTGTTTTGGTGCTTATCAGCATTCAGGAAACGTATGAAACAATGAACATGGATTCTAGAGAAGTCTCAAGCATAAACAGAAAAGAAGGCAAGTCTGGGACCCTGGGAAAAAACATTTAAGAGGACAACAGAACAGGAAGGAGCAGCTGGAAGGGGATGAAGAGAACTGGGAGAGAGTGGTAGCAGGGAAGCCAAGGGAGGAAGAAGTTTTAAGGCAGAAAAGATACTAAATCATGCCAAATACTACATGATGGGCTTATTAGTGAGAAGAAGTGTGTGTCTGGTGACCCTAGCAAGAGCAATTGTTACTGTGGTAGCTGAGGTAGAGGCCAGGGTTAAAGAGATGGGGAGTGGATGGGAGGTAAGACAATAGATACACAAGTTAGAAGGTACACTTGTTCAAGAAGCTTGACTTTAAAGGAACAGGGAAGAAGGTAAATAGCTAGAGAAGTACTTGGGGTTTTCTAATTCTTTTTAAAAATAAGGGTGAGAGACTTGAGTTAGGACATATTTAAAGACATAAGGAAATGCTGGCCGATAGAGAGGAACTAGTTGCAGATAGGAGAGAGGAGATAACACAAGTATATATGGGGGGATAATTGAAGAATGAGAATGAAATACAGTAGGTGGGGATTAGTCTGGTTGACCAAGAAAGACAGCTTTGCCTTGAAACCAGAGGAGGCAAGGTAATGACAAGCCTGTAGACTAAAGGTAGAAAGATGATAGCCTGCTCTTCAGTGAGAAGTTTGAGGTAAAAGGCGAAGGTCAGGAATAGCTTATTTAGGACATGGAGAGTTTCTGGGCCAGGCGCAGTGGCTCACGCCTGTAATCCCAGTACTTTGGGAGGCCGACGTGGGCGAATCACGAGGTCAGGAGTTCAAGACCAGCCTGACCAACATGGTGAAACCCCGTCTCTACTAAAAATACAAAAATTAGCCGGGCGTGGTGGTGCATGCCTGTAATCCCAGCTACTCAGGAGGCTGAGGCAGGAGAATCACTTGAACCTGGGAAGCGGAGGTTGCAGTAAGCCGAGATTGCGCCACTGCACTCCAGCCTGGGTGACAGAGCGAGACGCCGTCTCAAAAAAAAAAAAAAAAAAAGGGACATGGAGAGTCTCTGAGCCAGGGCAAATAAAAAGCTTGCTTGGTTTCTAACTTTTCATATATTTTGTTTCTTCCAGGTCTGGGCTCTTCAGCTGAGCACTTAGTGTTTGTACAGGATGAGGCAGAAGATTCAGGGAATGATTTCCTCTCCAGTGAGAGCACAGACAGTAGCATTCCATGGTTCCTCCGGGTTCAGGAGTTGGCCCATGACAGTTTGATTGCTGCTACTCGTGCACAACTGGCAAAGAATGCAAAAACCAGCAGCAATGGTGAGGCCCGTCGGCATTTTCCTTGCCACTATTCTGTGCAAAGAGATTTTGGTAATGCAGTGGCTGGTTTGAGTTGTATATAATTTAAATTATTCTATTGATGAGAGCAGAAGGCTAGAAATCTGTAAATTGTTTAAATTTTATTTTCTATAAAATAACTTGGTCATGCCAGATTTGTGTTCAAAACCAACTAGTATTCTGAATTCTCAACTTTAAATAATGTACAGAGCCCCTTTTAAAGAAAAAATAATATACATCCTGGGGTTTGAATTGTTTTTATTGTAATGTCTCTTAAATATGCAAAAACATAAATTCTGTGTAAACTTCATATACTTAGAGCTCTTATACCATCATGAAATCAAAACAGTTTTTATCAGTTAATAGGAATAAAACTACCAAATCCATGAAAATAAAAATAACATTAAGTCATTGTGGCAGAGGATTATGTTTTGCTGAAACTAAATTGCTGCTCATGGCAGTTTAACAATTAGCTATGATGGTTTTAATGCTTTTTCTTTTCAGTTCAGCATGCCTATACTACTTACTCTGTGTCACTTTTCTCTGTTCTAGTAATTTTCAAAGCATTGTCACTGGATCATTGACGTCACGTGGGAACTGAGAAATATAAACTCTCAGGCCCATGCCAGACCTACTGAGTCAAAAACTTGGTTCTGATACATGTTAAAGCTTGAGAACCACGGCTCTATTCAGACCACTGCAGAATCTTTGCTTATGTAGCATGTCATGGATACTTTTTTAGGTCTGCCTCTGTGTTTTCTCATTAACATGTGACACAACTCAATACAACATGGTTTAATGCTATCATTATCACAAACTAAGCTTAAGCACTTAGTACACAGTTGTTTGGAGTTTATGCAGATTATCTAGTATATGCTTATTATTATTTTTTGATTACCATTCAAATGAAAATAAAAAGTTAAAATTTCTCATAGAGAACTAGAGTTCCCTATGAATATTTTGAAACATTAAATCTTTTTTTTTTTTGGTCTTTTTTTTTCCCTTTTTATGGAGAATGAGGTTTTGCTCTGTTGCCAGACAGGTCTCAAACTCCTGGACTCAGGGTCTCCTCCTGCCTCTGGCTCCCTAAGTGCTGGGATTTTAGGTGTGAGCAACCATCCCCAGCCAAACTCTAAACTGTTTGTTTTCAAAATACTTAGTTCTGTTTATGACTACCATAGTGCTACTTAGAATGGTTCATTTTAACATTTTGGTGGGACCCTTAAAGTTCAGATTCTTCCTGAGATATATGTGCCAATCTCCAGATGCTGAAACCTTCAGCATTTCCTCTTACATTGAAGAAATAGTGTCATATTTGCCAATGAGAAGCAGCGTAGGGAGGGGAGCTTGCAATTTAGAATCTGGGAGCCCTGGGATCCAGGCCTGGCACCATCATTTACTGGTTCCCTGCCTTGGGCAGTTTAACCTCCCTTAGCTTCAATTTTCTTACGATCTGAACATAGAGATCAGGCAGCTTTCCTGACTGGCTTGTTATGGAGATTATGTAACATTCTATCTGGGAAATGTTATAATCAGCAAAGCATTGTGTGGATGTTTTTCTTACTCTCAAAGTATGTTGCCTTACTATCTTAACAACTACTTTGTATGCCTGAATATAAAATCACCCCAAATAGGCTGGGCATTGTGGCTCATGCCTGTAATCCCTGCACTTTGGGAGGCCGAGGCAGGCAGATCATCTGAGGTCAGGAATTCGAGACCAGCCTGACCAACGTGGAGAAATCCCGTCTCTACTAAAAATACAAAATTAGCTGGGCGTGGTGGCGCATGCATGTAATCCCAGCTACTCAGGAAGGCTGAGACAGAACTGCTTGAACCCGGGAGGTGGAGGTTGCAGTGAGTGGAGATCGCACCACTGCACTCCAGCCTGGGCAACAAGAGCGAAACTTGGTCTCCCAAAAAAAAAAAAAATCACCCCAAATATAAGACAATCTTTTATTTTCCAACAAGATAATACCCTAAAAGCCTTTTATTTTTTTCTAACTTAGTTATGTAAACTTTTAAGCATGTAGATAAAATTAACATTATAGGTTGCTATTTGGAAGCTTTATGATTTTGGTTATACATACACATTTTAATTTTTTTTTTTTTTTTGAGACCGAGTCTCAGTCTGTCGCCCAGGCTGGAGTGCAGCGGCGCAATCTCGGCTCACTGCAAACTCTGCCTCCTGGGCTCAAGTGATTCTCTGCCTCAGCCTCCCGAGTAGCTGGGACTACATGTGCATGCCACCATGCCCAGCTAATTTTTGTATTTCTAGTAGACACAGGGTTTCACCGTGTTGGCCATGGCTGGTCTCAAACTCCTGACCCAAGGTGATCTGCCTGCCTCTGCCTCCCGCAGTGCTGGGATTACATGCGTGAGCCACCGTGCGTGGTCCCACATATACATTTTAAATCATATGAAATATATCAATATTGCTTTCACCCACTAACACAAGCTTGTCCAACATACGGCCTGTGGGCACGTGTGGCCCAGGATACCTTTGAATGCAGCCCAACACAAATTCGTAAACTTTCTTAAAACATTATGAGATTTTTTTGTTTGTTTGCTTTTAAAGCTCACCAGCTGTCATTAGTATTAGTATATTTTATGTGTGGTCCAAGACATTTCTTCTTTCAGTGTGGCTCAGGGAAGCCAAAAGATTGGACACCCTTGCACTAACATGTAATGAAGTGATTTTATTCAATATTTTAATGCATTTTTAACATAAATATTTTTGTCATTGTTGACACTGAAGTCACTTTATGAGTCCTCTAGCATAGTTTTTCAGAGCATGTTATCTTCACTTACAGTCTAAGTTGTTTGAAATACAGAAACGTTTTAATTTTGCATAAGATGTTGTATATCAGATCAGCAAAGGCCTTTGGGCCAAATCCCCACCTGTTTTTATAATTAAAGTTTTATGGGAACATAGGCATCCACATTACTTACAAATTGTCTAAGGCTGCTACTATGGCAAAGCTGAGTAGTTGTAACAGAAACCATACGGCAGCCGGGCGCAGTGGTTCACACCTATAATCCCAGCACTTTGGGAGGCCAAGGTGGGCAGATCACTGGAGGTCAGGAGTTCAAGACCAGCCTGGCCAACATGATAGAACTCAAATACACTCTTTTCTGAGGGATTTTTTTTTTTTTTTAGGGAAAAATTTGCGTTATATTTATTTGACCATATATTGATAATCTTCATTCTTGAGCAGGAGGAGTTTCAGTGATTTCTTAGCCTTGCCTTATTCTATGTATTCATTTTTCCTATTTTATGATTATATTAATATTCTTATTGTATCTATAAAACGGAATCCAGAAAGCCCCTACTATCACTGATTTGAATCACTGTATTAGCATGATTTTTTTGGCCGGTGCAGTGGCTCATGCCTGTAATCCCAGCACTTTGGGTGGCCGAGGCGGGTGGATCTGTTGAGCTCAGGAGACCAGCCTGGGCAACATGGCAAAACCCCATCTCTACAAAAAAAAAATAGAAAAAATTAGCCAGGTGTGGTAGTGCACACCTGTCTCTAGTCCCAGCTACTTGGGAGGCTGAGGTGGGAGGATCTCCTGAGTTGGGGAGGTCGAGGCTGCAGTGAACCGAGATCATGCCACTGGATTCCAGCCTGGGCAACAAAATGAGACCCTGTCTCAAAAAAAAAAAAAGAAAAAATTTAAAAGAAAAAAGCATGATGTTAACAGACCTTTCATTAGAAATCAATTAGCTGGAGTTCTGGGGTTGGTGGGAAGATTCCTTCACGGCATATGTATTTTTGTGCTATATGTGTAGTTTTTTTTTTTTTTTTGAAACGGAGTCTCGCTCTGTCGCCCAGGCTGGAGTGCAGTGGCGCGATCTCGGCTCACTGCAAGCTCCACCTCCTGGGTTCACGCCATTCTCCTGCCTCAGCCTCCCGAGTAGCTGGGACTACAGGCTCCTGCCACCATGCCTGGCTAATTTTTTTTTTTGTATTTTTAGTAGAGACGGGGTTTCACTGTGTTAGCCGGGATGGTCTGGATCTCCTGACCTCATGATCCACCCACCTCGGCCTCCCAAAGTGTTGGGATTACAGGCGTGAGCCACTGCGCCTGGCCCTGATATTTTTCAAGTAAACACATTTTTAAAAACCTTGGGGCAATATTAAAGAAAAACTTAATAGTAACTAGCAGGAAGCATCCTAGGTTCTGCTCTGACCTTGGAGCAATTAGTTTTATGACTAGTATTTGGTAAAGTATAGCAAGGAGAAGATTAATAGATGGGACAGAAACTGCCTTTGATTAACCATCAGGTTCTAGGGGCTGTGATAGGCACAACATATATATTCTACTTTTGGCTATTGAGGGGGAAATTTGGAGATACAAATCTTATTGCTAAGGTATATATAGTGGAAAGATACACTGCCTGCATATGCTCATGGCAGAATTAAATGACTATTAATTTTTTTCTCTATTGATGTTCAAGTATTTCTTGAAGAAAGTGAAAGAAAAGGACCACCACCTGCTAATCTGGAATTTATATAAAAATTTTTAAGTAACTGATTTTGTTTACATTTAAGGGAGGCACTTTGTACTCCTCTCCTCACCTCTCTTTATTCTGTTGAACAAAACTCCAGTAGATATTTTCTCTTACTTTTTAAAATGTGGTTAGAAATTTAAAAATCATCTGAGTTTTTGAATTCCTTAAGTATTTTATAACTAAAGAAGGGTGGTACAGGAAATTGGAAGGTGGTTCTTAGTTTGCAGAATGACAAGAAATAGCCAAATTCCTTTCAGAAGATGGAAATCTAAAAATGGCTGTCAGAGCCCACACTGAACCAGAATGACTACTTCTTCTTAAAATACAGTGGGATTTTTTGTTTGTTTGTTTTTGAAACAGGGTCTTACTCTGTTGCCCAGACTGGAGTGCAGTGGTGCAATCTCGGCTCACTGCAGCCTCCGCCTCCCGGACACAAGCAAAATACAGAGTTTTTATTACTCAGAACTTTGTCATCTTTGTAGCACCCTACTCAGGGATAGTGTTGCTATCCCTGCTTCTCCACCAAACTGTGTAATGCAAAATGGTTTTAATTCTGATTTCTAATAGCAAACCATTTTGGATATCTCTTACATTTGTCAAAGAGGCCTAGTCTTGTGAAACAAAGCATGATAGTTTTTGGTAGTTTTTCTGGAGTAAGGGAATGAGGATGTAGAACACTTGCATTTCTATTGTTTCATTATATTTATTTATTTTTTGACAGATTCTTGCTCTGTCACCCAGGCTGGAGTGCAATGGTGCAGTCACAGCTCACTATAGCCTCAACCTCCCAGGCTTAAGTGATCTTCCTGCCTCAGCCTTGGAGCCTCAACTACAGGACTGCGCCACCATGCCTGTCTAATTTTTGTTTGTTTGTTTGTTTGTGTTTTGTAAAGATATGGTTTCACCATGTTGCCCATGCTAGTCTCGGAACACCTGGGCTCAAGCAGTCCTCCCACCTTGGCTTCCCAAAGTGCTTGGGATTATAGGTGTGAGCACCATGCCTGGCCAAGTTTCTGCTGTTAAGTGCATACAAAGATAACTGGGGAAGATGAAGATAGATACCTGATTAATGATCACTAGGAGTAAAATATAGGAGCTTTATTGTTTGAGCCTAAGTATCTGAGTAGGGTCTTTCCCTGGATTACAAATATGTGACTCTGTTACAGGAGAAAATGTCCACCTTGGTTCTGGTGATGGGCAGTCAAAAGATTCTGGGCCCCTTCCTCAAGTGGAAAAGAAGCTCAAGTGTACAGTTGAAGGTTGTGACCGGACATTTGTATGGCCAGCTCACTTTAAATACCACCTCAAGACTCATCGGTGAGCAAATCCGAGATCTCATATTTGGATATACGTTGATGCAAAAGTTGATTCTTCCAGAGGAACTTGCCCCTCAGGTTGACAAATTACAGGAAAGTAGGGACTCCAGTTAACTTCTGGTTAAGATATCTTTTTTTCTTTAATAGAAGGATTTGCATTGTCTCATTTATCTCATTCTTGATAAATATTTAATAAGACATTTGGGACCTAAAGGCCTTAAACCAAGAGTTCTCAAATTTTATTATAAAACATATTTCCTTTGAGAACTTAAAAGTAACAAATAAGCATGGGCTCCTACCTTGAACCTATGAGATCAGTTTAAGGGGTGGTGCTAGGCATCTGTAGTTTTTTGTTTGATTTTTTTTGTTTAAGAGACAGGATCTCACTTTGTCACCCAGGGTGGAGTACAGTGGCGCCATCATAGCTCACTGCAGCCTCGAACTCCTGTGCTCAAGTCATCTTCCTACCTCAGCCTCACTTGGGATTACAGGCTTGCACCACCACACCTGGCTAATTAAAAAAACATTTTTTAAAGACAGGGTCTCGCTATGTTGCCCAAGCTGATCTCAAACTCCTGGGCTCAAGTAATCTTCCTGCCTCAGCCTCCAGAGTAGCTGGGATTACAGGCGTGAGCCACCACCCAGCTATAGTTTTAACAAAGTCTTCAGTTGATTCTGATATATCCAGTTTTTGGACTTACTGTTTGCCTTGAGAGTCAATAGGGGCTTTGACTTGTCATCTCTAGCAAAGAGTGTTTTCAGATATTTTTCCTTATGTGATTATTTTTGCAGAAATGACCGCTCCTTCATCTGTCCTGCAGAAGGTTGTGGGAAAAGCTTCTATGTGCTGCAGAGGCTGAAGGTGCACATGAGGACCCACAATGGAGAGAAGCCCTTTATGTGCCATGAGTCTGGCTGTGGTAAGCAGTTTACTACAGCTGGAAACCTGAAGAACCACCGGCGCATCCACACAGGTGTGTGCAGCACCAACATTCCTTTGGGCAGTCTGCTCCTTGGCTCTGCATGTTTGCCTCTCCTTAGGAAAGACTCAAGTGGGAATAGAAATGAAGGTCTGGGGTTGTTGCTAGAACTCTGAAGATGGGATTTCTTTTTCAAATGACTTGTTGCACTTATAATAACATTTATTGTATTTTTACCTGTGTGTGTAGAGTAGACAGTGTTGATTTCTGTTTTCAGGAGCCTAACCTGCAGGGAGAGCTGTAAGACCTTCTCAGACAACAATGATGTGGGGAGATGTGGACAAAATCAGTCTGTGTTCAAATCTTTCTGAACACTGCGCAGTTATGATTTTGGGCAGTAACATTTACTGAGTCACACAAACCATACAGAACCTGTTCTAGGCACTAAATGGGGCAGGGTGGGAAAAAAATACAAAAGATAAGATATAATCCCTGACTTTCTTGTTAGAGCCTCACAACGTGAGAAACAGAATAGAGAAGTGAATTATTCTGGGTCACACAGTATGTTAATATCACAGGAGCAAAATAAAGATTCCTTGACTCTTAATCTAAGAGTCTAAGGGTGATTTTCCAAGCCACTTGGTCCAGCGTGAGCTAGTCTCTAGCCAAAGTATAATCACTGAACCCACACCACTCTTAGAATGTGTAACTATTCTTCCCCACTTACTTGCCACTTTGACTCTTCTTGATTCTTGCATTGGCAAAATGACAGCAGGTAAAATTAAAAGGCATATATATGGCATATATAAAATGCATATATAAAAATATAAGGCATATATAAAATATAAAAATAAAAGGCATATATATACATACATATATACACATACATATATATACACATACATACATATATATACACACACACACACACACACACACATATATATATATATATATATATATATACACACATACTTTTTTTTTTTTTGAGATGGAGTCTTGCTCTGTTGCCAGGCTGGAGTGCAGTGGCGAGATCTCGGCTAACTGCAAGCTCCACCTCCTGGGTTCATGCCATTCTCCTGCCTCAGCCTCCTGAGTAGCTGGGACTACAGGCACCCGCCACCAGGCCTAGCTAATTTTTTTTGTTTGTATTTTTAGTAGAGACAGAGTTTCACCGTGTTAGCCAGGATGGTCTCGATCTCCTGACCTCGTGATCTGCCCTCCTCAGCCTCCCAAAGTGCTGGGATTACAGGCTTGAGCCACTGTGCCCAGCCTATACTTTTTTTTTTTAATTAGTCAAATGCAGTAGTGAGAAGAGGGGAAAAAGTAAAACAAGGCACTTGATCTGTAACTGACTGTGAACATCAGTTGAGATAACTCACTACCTTCAGACCAGCCCATTGTTGTAGCATTTGATACCTCTGAACATCATCTTAAAATGCTTTCTTTTTTCTTATTTATTTATTTTTGAGACGGAGTCTCACTCTGTCGCCCAGGCTGGAGTGCAGTGATGCGATCTCAGCTCACTGCAACCTCTGCCTCCTGGGTTCAAGCTTTTCTCATGCCTCAGCTTCCCAGTAGCTGGGATTACAGGTGTGCACCACCACGCCCAGACATTGTTGTATTTCTTGTAGAGACCGGGTTTTGCCATGTTGGCCAGGCTGTTCTCGAATTCCTGACCTCAAGTGATCCGCCGACCTTGCCCTCCCAAAGTGCTGAGATTATATATGTGAACCACCACGCCCAGACTTAAAATGCTTTTACTTCAAAATATGACCTGATTTTCCCGTTGTTTTTTTTTCTCTAATTCTTTCTAGCTTTTATCTCTGTTAATCTCTGAATGTTTCACCAGTTTCAGAATTTCTTGTTCCTTCTCTTTTACTCAGTGTACTCTCTTGTCATAATCTCAGGCCTCTATTTAATTATTTCTCCCTAGATGCCTCACAGATCTGAATCTCAATAATAATTAATATAATAATAAAAGTTAGCATTTGTTGAGGCACTTTAGTATGTACCAACCACATATACATTATCTCATTTAATCTTTAAGGTAACTTTATGCATTAGATACTGTACTTATTGATAAAGGAACAGAAGATTAGAGAGAGAAGTAACTTGCCCAACATCATGCAGGTAGGAAATGGCAGAGCTGGAATTTGAATTCTGATATGACCCCAAAGCTCTTCCAAGGATTTTATTTTTAAATGCTGACAACTCAGTTTATCTCAAATGTCAAAATTGACCTCAAAGCTTTATTAGTAGTAATGATAGTAAAGCTGCAGTTCAGGTCGGGCCCAGTGGCTCACACCTGTAATCCCAGCACTTTGGGAGGCTGAGGTGAGCACATCACTTGAGGGCAAGAGTTCGAGACCAGCTTGGCCAACACGGTGAAACCCCATCTCCACTAAAAATACAGTTAGCCAGGCATGGTGATGGGTGCCTGTAATCCCAGTTACTCGGGAGGCTGAGGCAGGAGAAGTGCTTGAACTCGGGAGTTAGAGGTTGCAGTGAGCCGAGATTGCGCCACTACACTCCATCCTAGGAGACAGAGCGAGACTCCATCTCAAAAAAAAAAATTTTGACTGGGTGCAATGGCTCATGCCTGTAATCCCAGCACTTTGGGAGGCCGAGGCGAGTGGATCACCTGAGGTCAGGAGTTCCAGACCAGCCTGACCAACATGGTGAAATCCCATCTCTACTAAAAATACAAAAATTAGCTGGGGCATGGTGGCACATGCCTGTAATCCCAGCTACTAGGGAGGCTGAGGCAGGAGAATCGCTTGAACCCAGGAGACAGAGGATGCAGTGAGTGGAGATTGTGCCATTGTACTCCAGACTGGGCAACAAGAGCGAAACTCTGTCTTGAAAAAAAAAAAAAAAAGTAAATCTGTTAATTCAGTGGCTTACTATGAGGGCTTACTATGTGCCAGGCACTATGCTGAATATTTACCTGGTATTATTTAATCCTCAAAACACTCTTTTGAAATTGTATTATCTCCATATTGTAGATGAAAAGCTGATTTTTAGAGAGATTAAACACCTTCCCCATGCAAATAAGTGGTAGTGCCAGGATCTGAAGTCAGAATTGGATTAACAGACCCCAAAGGCCATGTTTTTCACCATTTTGCTGCATTGTCTTTTAAACCTCTTCCTTCTCCTGTGTCCGTTATCCCAGTGAAATAACCATCCTCTCAAGTTTCCAAATAGGCAGGTATGTCCCCTAACCAGCTTGATGCAGAGATTTCATGCCATTACATTCTTATGTAGAATCTTTTTCTAAATCCTTTTTGTTTTTTCAGTTCTTTAGTTCATCTTTTGAAACATTTGATCTTGTTATTACTAAAATTTTTTTTTTACATTTGTTCTGTTATATATATTAGTATATTGCTCATTCTTTCAATAACTTTTTGAGTACCTAGCATTCTGAGGGATGAGTATACAATTAAAACATTGAAAAAAGCTACCGGTGGAGAGTCTCAAACATTAAACTGTGTGGTACAGTCTAAAAGAATAGTATAATCTAGCAGTGCTGTTCCCTCCCAGAAAGCTCAGCTCCCATATTGTCACTGTGCCAGCCTTACTAGCCATTTTCTGAACTTTCCCCGGGCACTCTGTTTCAAGGCTCTGCTCACAGTATTCCTGGTGCCTGAAATTTCCTTCCATCCTTGTCATCTTTTAGATGAACTCAGAAATTCAGCTGCTTACAAAAATTACTGCAACGGAGCACTTTTTTTTGTATTTATGAATTCATTTGTCTGTCTCACACTAGTTTGTGACCCTTGGAGGATAGAGACTGCATCTTTTTTGTTTGTTTGTTTTTTTGTTTGAGACAGGGTCTCTCTCTCTGTAGCCCAGGCTTGAGCCCAGGAATTTGAGATCAGCCTGGGAAACATAGTGAGACTTCCTCTCCAAAAAAATTATACTTTTAGATGGATCTACAAACTGAGTCATAAAGAAAATTGATGTAAGGTAAAAATCCTGACAGCATATACAGTATTAATCTTGATATCCTCAGATGGTGGGAGTCACTGAAGAAGGTAGGTTAATGCAACTCTCCAGCTCTTGGGCCAGGAGGGAGAAGGAAATATAGGCTTACATTCCAAGGAAAAGGGCAAGGCTGTCTGGTGGCATATATACTAAAAGATCATTGAGAGGCAACACTTGCTAGGTAGCCCAGTTGAAATTATAACATGAATTAAATAAATCAGAGTAGGTAAGTCATTAGACTCTGAATAAAGTTGGTGGGAAAAGAGAGTAACAGGTAATCAGTTCATCAGAAGACTGAGTCTTTATCTCATTTTCTGTCTCTAGGAGAGAAACCTTTCCTTTGTGAAGCCCAAGGATGTGGCCGTTCCTTTGCTGAGTATTCTAGCCTCCGAAAACATCTGGTGGTTCACTCAGGTATCAGAACCTCTGCCATTCATAGATTTTAGGAAAAGTAGACAAAAGAATAAAAGGGTTGTGGGGGTGATATAAAGACAACTAAAAAGAAACAAACTGTTCACTATAAAGATAGAAAGCTTCTCATCATCATGACAGAATCAGAAATCAAGGCCCTTAATTCTTATAATCAAGGTTGGGGGGGGGACATCTAATTATTATTTTCAGCTGTGTTTCTAATAAAGCCTTCTTTTGAAGAGATCAGCAAATTTGTTTGGCACTCTGCTGGGTGCTTTATAAGTTACATAAAACATGGACCCTCTTCTTTAGGAATTGACATTTTTATCCTTGGGGAGGATTTCATATCAGAAGAAAGTAAAAAGACTGATATAAGTTGTAGCAGCACCAGTAATATTACTGCCTTCTGAGCAGGTGTTAGTGATCCTGCTTGAGTCACCATTTTGGCAGAAACTATGCCTTTGGCAAACAGAACCACAAACCTTATCATTGCAGATGTGGAGAAGAGAAAAGAGGAGTAAGATTTAGTGACCCATTTTCTGTTTGGAGCCTTAAATTAATTCCCTGCAATTCTGTCAGTTTGCTCACTCTGTGCAGATATATCTCATCCTCTCAACCAGAAGTCAGGTACAGCGCAGGGAAAAGCCTGTATCTTGTTAGAAGGACTTTTTTCCTGTAGGACATGGTGATTTACTTGGAAAACAAGATGGGGAAGGTAGTTTAAGAAGGGCCTAAAATGCCAGGAAGGAGAGTTTGTGGAGCCTACTGGAGGTACAACCTGATGAGAACTTGGCTTACTGAAGATTTATCTGGCAGTGATGCAGAAGCTAAACTAAAACAGGAAGAGATGAGAAGACTTTTTTTCAGTCTGGTCAAGAAGTCTGCTCCAGTGTAGTGGCAGGGAGCATGGAAAGAGACCCAGTGGAAGAATCTGTTCAACTCCACAAATGATTGGCTGGCTATAAAGTTATACAGCAATGGAGGCAGCAGGTGAGGATTATTGATGAATAATCAATAATCAGAAGCATGGTAGTGGCCTGGCGTGGTGGCTCACGCCTGTAATCCCAACACTTTGGGAGGCCGAGGCAGGTGGATCACTTGAGGTCAGGAGTTCGAGACCAGCCTGACCAACATGGTGAAACCCTGCTGAGATTAGCCTACTAAAAAAATAAAAAATTATCCGGGCATGGTGGCACATGCCTGTAATCCCAGCTACTTGGGAGGCTGAGGCAGGAGAACTGCTTGAACCTGGGAGGCAGAGGTTGCAATGAGCTGAGATTGCACCGTTGCACTCCAGCCTGGGCAACAAGAGCGAAACTCCGTCTCAAAAAAAAAAAAAAAAAAAAGCATGGTAGTTTCAGGAGGTTGAGGCTGCAGTGAGTTGTGATTGCGCCACTGCACTGCAGCCTGGGTGACAGGGCGAGACCCTGTCTCAAAAAAAAAAAAAAAAAAGTGGTAGTGAAGATAAGGAGGGAAAGGGGGCTTTCCAGTTGTCAGGCTGACTCACATATTTATAAGAGGGGTTAGAAAAATGTTGGATGATGAGTGCTAGAGGGGCTCTGTAGACTAGCCTTGTAAGTTTGTTGGAGGTGAGAAAATTCCTGGCACACAACAGCTTTTTAGAATTTGTTGATTGAACCAATTAGAATGAATAAAAGGATTGCTAAGTAACAGTGAATGAGGACATAGCTGAGAGTAAGTAGCATAACTTTTTTTAGTAGACCTGTTCAGATTTTATTACTTTTCTCTGCTACTGCTTAACAGTTTAAAAGCTGGGTACTGGAGAAAATAGGTGATGGAGGTTAATCAGAGCAGAGGCTTGCTGAGGAAGAGATGAACTCAAGGAGGAGAGGGATTCTAGAATGGAATCAGGTCATTGTTGAATGACTGGCCGTGGGAAACAAGGGGAAGCCAGAACATGACAAGTGGAGAGGAGGAACTGGAAAGTTACTTATGAGGAAAGCAAGCTACTGCAGCAGGAGCAAGGAAGTTGGAGAGTTATAAACAATCAGGGATGTACATTTCAGAGTTGAGATCTTAGAAGTAGAGCAGTTTTTTAATATGATGACAAGTTCTAAGCAGAGGTGGCAAACTGGTATCCTGTAGGCTAGATGTGGACTTCAGATGTGTTTTGCTTGGATTGTAGAGCGTTTTTATTTTACTTTACTGTGTCAGATTATGTGAAAGATTCACCAAAGTAGAGAAATTTTTTTTTATATAGCAACAGTGGTGTTATACCTGTCAAAATTAATATTTCCTTGGTTTTATCTTATAACCAATCCATGTTCAGTTTTTTCTACTTGTTTCGAAAATGTCTTTTAAAGTTGGTTTGTTTAAATCAGGATCCAACAAGATCCAATATTATATTTGGTTATTAAGTCTTTAAAAATCTAGATCTTTCTACATTGAGTTGTTGTTGTTGTTGTTGTTTGTTTGTTTTTTTCATAGAGTTGTTGCAAAACAGAGTCAGTTGACTCCTATAGAATAGCCCACATTCTGGATATATTGGTTTGCTTCCATTTATGTCATTTAACTTGTTTCTCTACGTTTCCTATAAATGTAAGTAAGCTCTAAAAGCTTCAAAGTTTGGAAGTTTTGGGCAAGAATATGTCAGAGATGGTTCTGTGTGCTTCGTTTTGTGTCACATCAGGAAGCTCACAGTGCTTGGTTGTCAAAATTGATCCATGGGTTCAGCTGGCCTGATCCCTGTATTATAAGGTTCCCTATGAACCTTTCACTTTCTTTTTTTTTTTTTTTTTTTTGAGACAGTATTACTCTGTTGTCCAGGCGAGAGTGCAGTGGCGTGATCTTGGCTCACTGCAGCCTCCGCCTCCTGGGTTCAAGCAATTCTCCCGTCTCAGCCACCCGAGTAGCTGGTATTACAGGCGCGTGCCACCACGCCCGACTAATTTTTGTATTTTTACTAGAGACGGTTTCACCATGTGGCCAGGCTGGTCTTGAACTCCTGACCTCAAGTGCTCTGCCTGCCTTGGCCTCCCGAAGTGCTGGGATTACAGGCACGTGCCACCACACCCAGCCAACCTTTCACCTTTTGATTTCATTCCTAAATGATACCTGAATCTCTTATTTCATAAAGGATTGTAAAATGGTGGTTTTTCTTATTCCTTTACTCCTTTCACATTAGTTGGAATTCTTCTGTACTGTGCGACTCTTTAGTTGGACTCTTCCACTAATATCAAGTAGGGCTATTTGATCATTTGCATAGGCAAGACAGGATAAATATGTAATTCTTTTAATTGTGAATTTTGAGAATAAGGAATTGATGCTCTAGTTACTTCTAGTATTTCATGTTTGATGCTATTTCAAATGAAATGTTTTCTTGATTTTATTTTTGAGTTGTTCATTGGTAGTATATAGAAATACAATTGAATTTTGTACATTGATCTTGCAACCTTGGTAAATGCTTGAGTTTTAGTAGTTTCTTTTTTTTTTTTCTTCCAGCTTTTTAGTTCAGGGGTACATGTGTAGGATGTGCAGGTTTGTTACCTAGGTAAAGGTGTCCCATGGTGGTTTACTGCACAGATCATCCCATCACCTAGATATTAAGCCCAGCATCCATTAGCTATTCATCCTGATGTTCTCCCCCTCCTCCTACACCCCATTTTTTTTTTTCTTTTCTGTTTATTTTTTTAGAGACAAAGTCTCACTCTATTGCCCAGGCTAGAGTGCAGTGGCACCATCATAGCTCACTGAAGCCTTTGAACTCCTGGGAACAAGTGATCTTCCCACCTCAGCCTCCCCAGTAGCTGGGACTGAGGCAGAAATTTAAAAATAAATATGCATTCATTCACTCCAAGAAAAGTAACAGGCAAGGCAAGGGTTAAAAAGAAAAGAACAAGTTTTCCTCTGCCTAGCAAGCTCACTTCAAGGACAGTTATAAGATAACGCTGTTTGAGAAGCCAAGGCCAAAGGAATGGACTCCAGACACCCCCTCTTCCAGAGCAAGGTTGAAGGAAAAAAAAAGGAAAGACAAATTCCTTTACTGTTACTCCTTTCCCTGGCTTCTTAAGCATAACTGTGTTTTGCAAATGTCTGTATTTAGCCAGTTCTTATTTTTCTTTCAATGCAGCTATAAGGTCACCAGCTATGCAAGGCCACAAGTTATGCTATGCTATAAAGTATGTGACCTGTCATGATTAACTGCTTTTGTTTTACTTTTGTAAGTCCGCTTACAAAAACCCCACTCCGTCTTTGTTTAATGCTCAGCTTTTTGGATGTGAATCCACTGAGCTGGTGCGTACCTAAAATAAACAATCCTCCTGTTCTCCGTATCAGTCTCTCCAGTCCTCAGTTTCCTGCAATAGGACTACAGGCTCACACCACCACATCTAGCTAATTTCTATTATTTTGTAGAAATGGAGTCTTTGTGTTGCCTGGGCTCGTCCTGAACTCCTGGCCTCAAGTGGTATTCCCACCTTGGCCTCCCAAAATGTTGTTGGGATTACAGGCATGAGCCACCACACTTGGCTGAGTTTTAGTAGTTTTTAAAAAATAGATTTCTTAGTGTTTTCTACATAAAAGATCATGTCATCTGAGAGTAAAGATAGTTTTGCTTCTGCCTTTCCAAGCTAGATGCCTTTAATTTCCTTTCTTTCTTGCTTTTTTTTGAGACATGGTCTCCCTCTGTTGCTCAGGTTGGAGTGCAGTGGCATGATCATGGTTCACTGCAGCCTTGACCTGGGCTTGGGCAGTCCTTCCACATCAGTCTCCCGAGGCTGGGACTACAGGCACATGCCCAGCTTTTTTTTTGAGTCTCGCTGTGTTGCCCAGGCTGGAATACAGTGGCGCAATCTCAGCTCACTGCAACCTCCACCTCCCAGGTTCAAGTGATTCTCCTGGCTCAGCCTCCCAAGTAGCTGGGATTACAGGCATACACCACCACACCCAGCTAATTTTTGTATTTTTGGTAGGGACGGGTTTTCACCATGTTGGCCAGGCTAGTCTTGAACTCCTGACCTCAAGTGATCTGCCCGCCTTGGCCTCCCAAAGTGCTGGGATTACAGGCATGAGCCACCGTGCCTGGCCCCCAGCTAGTTTTTTCAAAAAATTGTTATAGAGACAGGGTCTTGCCATATTGCCCAGGCTGGTTTCACACTCCTGGGATCAAGCAGTCTTCCTGTCTCAGCCTTCCAATGTCGGGATGACAGGCATGAGCCACTGCACCTGGCCTTAATTTCCTTTTTTTTTTTTTTTTTTTGGAGACTGAGTCTCCCACTGTCACCCAGGCTGGAGTGCAATGGCGTAATCTGGGCTCACTGCAGCCTCTGCCTCCCGGGTTCAAGAGATTCTATTGCCTCAGCCTCCTGAGAAGCTGGGATTACACGCGTGAGCCACCATACCCGGATAATTTTGTATTTTTAGTAGAGACAGTGTTTCAGCATGTTGGCCAGGCTGGTCTTGAACTCCTGATCTCAGGTAATCCACCTGCCTTGGCCTCCCAAAGTGCTGAGATTACAGGCATGAGCCACAGTGCCCGGCCTACTTTCTTTTTCTGGCTAGAACCTTGAGTACAATGTTGAATAGAAGTGGTGAGGCCGGGCGCAGTGGCTCACACCTGCAATCCCAGCACTTTGGGAGGCCGAGTCAGGCAGATCACCTGAGGCCAGGAGTTCTAGACCAGCCTGGCCAACGTGGTGAAACCCCATCTCTACTAAAAATACAAAATTATCCAGGTGTGGTAGCTCATGACTGTAATCCCAGCTATTCAGGTGGCTGAGGCATGAGAATCGCTTAAACCCAGGAGGTGGAGGTTGCAGTGAGTCGAGATCGCGCCACTGCACTCTAGCCTGGGTGATAGAGCGAGAATCTGTCTCAAAAAAAAAAAAAGTGGTGAGAGTACGTATCCTTGTCTTTTTCCCAGTCTTAGGGGAAAAGCATGTATTCTTTCATGATTAATTTTTTTTTTTTAAGACAAAGTCTTACTCTGTTGCCCAGGCTGGAGTGCAGTGGTGTGATCTTGGCTCACTGCAACCTCTGCCTCCTGAGTTCAAGCGATTCTCCTGCCTCAGCCTTCCGAGTAGTGGGGATTATAGGCGCTCGCCACCATGCCTGGCTAATTTTTGTTTTTTTTAGTAGAGATGGGGTTTCACCATGTTGGTCAGGCTGGTTCCGAACTTCTGACCTGAAATGATCCACCTGCCTCAGCCTCCCAAAGTGCTGGGATTACAGGTGTGAGCCACTGCACCTGGCCTTTCATGATTAAATTTGATGTTAGCTGTAGTTTTTTCATAGATGCCCTTTATCAGATGAAGGAATTTACCTTCTCTTCCTAGTATGTTGAGAATTTTTATTATGAATGGGTATTGGATCTTGTCAAACACCTTCGTGTGTCTGTTGAGATGATCTTGTTTTTGTACTGTATGCTACTAATTTTACTGCTAGTAGTTGGTTTTTGGATGTAAAACCAACTTTGTGTTTCTAGGGTAAATCCCATTTGGTCAGGGTGTATAGTCCTATTTATGTGGTGCTAGACTTGGTTTTGTCATAATTTGTTAAGAATTTTTACAGCTGGCTGGATGTGGTGGCTCATGCCTGTAATCTCAGCACTTTGGGAGGCCAAGGCAGGAGGATTGCTTGGGCCTAGGAGTTCTGGACCAGCCTGGGCAGCATAGGGAGACCTGTCCTCTACAAAAAATAATAAATCAGTAAGAGAGAGGGAGGGAGGGAAGGAAGGAAGGATGAGAGGAAGGGAGAGATAGAGAAGGAGGGCGGGAGAGTGGAAAGGAAGGAGGAAAAGGAGTCTGGATGTTCATGAGCGATATTGGTCTGTAATGTTTTCTTGTGATATCTTTAGCTTTTCTATGAGGGTAATTATACTGGCCTCCCTGGTTCAAGTGATTCTCATGCCACAGTTTCTTGAGCAGCTGGCACTACAGGCGTCCACCACCAATGTCTTGTTAATGTTTGCATATTTTTTAGTAGAGATGGGGTTTTGCCTTGTTAGGCTGGTCTTGAACTCTTGGCCTCCAGTGATTCACTTGCCTTGGCTTCCCAAAGTACTGGGATTATAGGTACGAGCCACCGTGCCTGGCCTGGTTGTTATTTTTGGAGCTTCTCATGCTGTATTTATGCTTTTGACATGACCCATTTGTCTTGTTATAGCCTCTCTGCTTTCTAACACAACAACAGTTCCCAGGCTTACCTTGGACTTGGAATCAGCTATTCCTCCATGGAGTCCTGGTTCCTTATAGTTGGAACCACAGTCTGGGTGCCATGTGCCCGTTGCTGTTAGGTTGTCATCGTTGGCAGGGCGCAGTGGTTTATGCCTGTAATCTTGGCACTTTGGGAGGCTGAGGCGAGCAGATCACTTTAGCCCACGAGTTCGAGACTAGCCTGGGCAACACAGTGAAGCCCCGTTTCTACAAAAAAAAAAAAATACAAAAATTAGCTGGGTGTGGTGGCATACACCTGTAATCCCAGCTACTTGAAAGGCTGAGGCATGAGGATCTCTCGAACCCAGGAGGTGGAGGCTGCAGTGAGCCGAGATGCACCACTGCACTCCA
Source organism: Homo sapiens (assembly GCF_000001405.40). Lineage (NCBI taxonomy): Eukaryota > Metazoa > Chordata > Mammalia > Primates > Hominidae > Homo > Homo sapiens. Next base: position 73,916,951 of record NC_000014.9, read on the forward strand.
GCCTGGGAAACAGAGCGAGACTGCGTCTCAAAAAAATAAATAAATAAAAAGGTTGTTACTGTTTCTAGAACTTTTCGGTGGAAAGAACTAAAGACATATTTTTGAAAAGAAAATAATTGGTTCATGTTGATAATTCCAATTTAAATTTTCACATTAAACAATTTTCAGGGGATTTTTTTGTACTTTATTTTTTTCTTACATCGAAAATCTTGGTTCATAACATTAATACAATATTGTTTCAAAATGATAATACCAATATTATCAATTTGTCTACAGAATGAAGTTTAAGACTTTTGGAGCTGTGGTTCTTAGAATAATACTATGTTTAAATACCCTTTAAATCATTGTTTTAATATATCACCAGCTTGATATGTAGATTTGCTTCAGTTTCTTTTTCAAAAAGCCTTGATTATAGGTGTGTCTCTTTACCATGTTCCCTCCCTCCTTCTCTTATAGGTATAAACACTTTTTATTTCCTATTTGGTTTACTTTTCCAGTGGTTCTTTTTGCATATACAAGCAAATGCAGGTTATTTAAGTTGAGATATAGTTCACATACCATAAGATTCATCTCAAAAAAGTGTGCAGTCCGGCCGGGCATGGTGACTCATGCCTGTAATCCCAGCATTTTGGGAGGCCGAGGTGGGTGGATCACCTGAGGTCAGGAGTTCAAAACCAGCCTGGCCAACATGGTGAAACCCCATCTCTACTAAAAATACAAAAATTAGCTGGGTGTGGTGGCATGTGCCTGTAATCCCAACTACTCAGGAGGCTGAGGTGCAAGAATCACTTGAACCTGGGAGGGGGAGGTTGCAGTGAACCGAGATCATGCCACTGCACTCCAGCCTGGGTGACAGAGTGAGACTCCATCTAAAATATAAAAAGAAGAAAAGGGTGCAACTAAGTGATTTTTAGTAGTAATATAATTATCCCTTGTTATCTGTGGTGTATAGGTTCCAGGACCCCACAGATACCAAAATCCACAAATACTCAAGTCTCTTACATAAAATGGCATGGTATTTGCATATAACCTACACATATCCTCCCATATGCTTTAAATCATCTCTAGATTACTGATAGTACCTAATACAACGTAAATGCTATGTGAATAGTTATGCTATATTGGTTATTTGTATTTTTTATTGCTATATTGTTATTTTTTATTTATTTATTTTTTTAGATGGAGTCTCGCTCTGTTGCCCAGGCTGGAGTGCAGTGGTCCACGATCTTGGCTCAATGAAACTTCCACCTCCTGGGTTCAAGTGATGCTCCTGCCTCAGCCTCCCAAGTAGCTGAGATTACAGGCATGTGCCTGGCTAATTTTTATATTTTTAGTAGAGACAGGGTTTCACCATGTTGGCCAGGTCTTGGAACTCCTGACCTCAAGTGATCTACCTGCCTTGGCCTCCCAAAGTACTAGGATTACAGGCATGAGCCACTGCGCCTGGCCTGTTATTTTTTATTTTTATTTTTTCTGAATATTTTTTATCTGCTTGGTTGAATCAATGGATGTGGATGGCCAACTATATATTCATAGTTTTACAGTTTTCTCTACTGTCCGACTCCACAACATTTCATCATCCCAAAAAGGATCCCCATATCCAGGAGATGATTAAAAAAAGAAAAAGAAGTCCCATTATTAGTATCATTGACCATGTCTCTCTTTCTCCAGCCCCTGGCAACCATTAATCTGCTTTCTGTGTCTGGATTTGCCTGTTCTGGACATTTCATATGGCCTTTTTTTTTTTTTTTTTTTTTTTTTTTTCCCCTAAACGGAGTCTTGCTGTCTCCCAGGCTGGAGTGCAGTGGCGTGATGTCGGCTCACTGCAAGCTCTGCCTCCTCGGTTCACGCCATTCTTCTGCCTCAGCGTACCGAGTAGCTGGGACTACAGGCGCCCGCCACCACGCCCGGCTACCTTTTTGTATTTTTAGTAGAGATGGGGTTTCACCGTGTTAGCCAGGATGGTCTTGATCTCCTGACCTCGTGATCCTCCCGCCTCAGCCTCCCAAAGTGCCTGGATTACAGGAGTAAGCCACCGTGCCCGGCCTTTTTTTTTTTTTTTTTTTTTTTTTTTTTTGACAGAGTCTCACTCTGGCTCAGGCTAGAGTGCAGTGGCATGATCTTGGCTCACTGCAACTTCCACCTCCTGGGTTCAAGCAATTCTCCTGCCTCAACCTCCCAAGCAGCTGGGATTATATGCGCCCGCCACCACGCCTAGCTAATTTTTGTAGAGATGCGGTTTCACTATGTTGGCCGGGCTGGTCTTGATCTCCTGACCTCAAGTAATCTGCCCGCCTCGGCCTCCCAAAGTGCTGGGATTACATGTGTGAACCACTGCACCTGGCTAAAATAAATTTATTTTAGATTCAGGGGGTACATGTGCAGGTTTGTTACAAGGGTATATTCCAAGATGCTGAAGTTTGGGCTACTAATGACCCTGTTGACCAAGCAGTGAACATAGTACCTGATAGGTAGTTTTTCAGCCCTTGCCCCGTAGCCGCTTTTGGAATCCCCAGTGTTTATTGTTCCCATCTTTGTGTCCATAAGTACCCAGTGTTTAGCTCCCGCTTATAAGTGAGAACATGGTGTTTGATTTTCTGTTTCTGTGTTAATTTGCTTAAGATAATGGCCTCCAGCTGCATCCATGTTGCTGCAGAGGACATGATTTTGTTCTTTTTTATGGCTGCATAGTATTTCATGGTGTGTATGTGCCACATTTTCTGTATCGTATTTACCATTGATGGGCACCTGGGTTGATTCCATGTCTTTGCTGTTGTGAATAGTGCTGCATTGAACATGTGAGGGCAAGTGTCTTTTTGGTAGAGCAGTTTATTTTCCTTTGGGTAGATAGCCAGTAATGGGATTGCTGGTTCAAATGGTGATTCAGTTTTTAGTTCTAAGCTTTGTAATATTCCACCCTGTTTCTATTGTATAGGTTTTTTTTTTTTTTTTTTTTTTTTTGCTATGCAGGACTACTGCAGTATCTATAGCTTTTTAGTCAGTCTCTGTGATGAATATTTACGTTGTTTCCAGTATTTAGCCATTTAAAATAATGTTGCCGTGATGAATAACCTTGTGCACAGAGTATTTCACATTTTGCTGCTGTAATTTTGGGACATATTCCTAGAAGTGGGATTCCTAGGTCAAAGGGCAAGTGCATCTACAATTTTTCTAGATCTGGTCAGATTCCCCCAAAGAGGTTTTTGTATTTTGCATTCCCAGCAAAATACAATCAGCAATGATGATTGCTGTACCATGTGTTTGTCAATTGTGAATTTGTTCCTAGCATTTAGAAATTGGGAGATTCTACTTAAAAATCCTTATTTCCAGTGTCTTAAAAAAAAATCAGAGAATCTGCCTTAATCTACCCATGGCAACAGTTGGCTAGAGCTGAATAACAGCTGCCCCTTTTCTAGGTACTCTCTAGGTTACTGCAGCCCCCACTTGGCCATTTTACTTACTTTTGCTACCTATCAGTCTCCTATAGACATGAGTTTTTGACCCCTGCTCTAAGTATGGTTTTCTGGGTAGGTAGAATGGAGACGGAGAGTTTGGGACTTGAAGACATAGAGGACAATTTAGATTATTATGTTGTAAGAGCCACCAGTGTGAATGTTGATGACCCTAAAGAGGGTGGCAGGGAATATGACAAGGGGATATTAGGAACACAGGATTGAAATCCTTGAGGAAAGCACATGTCCTAGAGGTCCATGGAAGACTAACTGAAAAAGAAGGCATATTTTTTGTGGTTGCCATGGTCCTATACCAAAGAGGTTTTGTGAAGGCAGCATTACAGAAGGTCTGGAAAGGACCAGCAGCTGGGAGCAGGGAGTGTGCTAAAGCCCTCCTGGTGTACTCTTCCTGCCTTCCCCCATATACTGAAGTTTGAGAGGCTGGGAAGGTGCGGAATGGGAAAAGGAGCAGCTGCTTATGTTCAGTTTAACATTCTCTGGGTTTCTCCATCTAGGTCTTGAGTTCATTCTCTTCCTGTCCTTTTGGCTTCCTTGTTTAACCTGGTCCCTGTTTCAGGAGAGAAGCCTCATCAGTGCCAAGTCTGTGGGAAGACCTTCTCTCAGAGTGGAAGCAGGAATGTGCATATGAGAAAGCATCACCTGCAGCTGGGAGCAGCTGGGAGTCAAGAGCAGGAGCAAACTGGTGAGGAGGGTGGGCATAGTGGAACGCTGTACTACTTCTAGGGTTCCAAGAGCCAAATCACTGTCCTGCCTGCTTATCTGGAAATTTTCTGATTCTGTTTTGGGTAGATAGACCTGGTCTCATTTGATGGGCTGATGGTTTCCAAACATAGCTATACAGTAGAATCATCTGCAACCTTTTAAAATTTATATACTTTTTGTTGCTTGTCCGCCCACCAATAAAACAAAGCAATCTGATAAATGAGATAATTTGCAAGATCCTAGAATCTGTAGTTTTAAAAGTTTCCCTAGTGAGTTTGATGGTAACTAGTGCTGATCCATGAACAAGCATTTGAGTAACACAGTGATAAAAGATTTCCACATGGGAAGAGTTTAAGCTTTTTAATTTTTTTAGATGGAGTCTTGCTTTGTCACCCAGGCTGGAGTGCAGTGGCGCCATCTCGACTCACTGCAACCTCTGCCTCCTGGGTTCAAGCAGTTTTCCTGCCTCAGCCTCTTGAGTAGCTGGGATTATAGGCAGGTGCCACCACACCTGGCTGATTTTTATATTTTTGTAGAGACGGGGTTTCACCATGTTGGCCAGGCTGGAAGCATATTTTATTTACCAGTCATGACTACCTTTTTGCCCTGCCTGAAATTTGATAACTCTTTTTAATTCTTATTCCTTCGCCATATCTTTCCTTAATTATTCCAAATATTCCTTTCTAAAGATCCACCTATCCTGTTTCATATGCTAATTCTTCAGACGCTGAACACAAGCAAGGATCATTATCTTCTAAGGCTTACTCTTTCCCTTCTAGGTTTATTCTTGTTTCTCGAAAGTAGGTGAAATAGGGGGTGGCATCCCATCTATAGGTTAACTTCTAGTAATGAAAGAGAAGGCCAGCTTCTGTTGAAAGAAAATGAGGACCAGGCACAGCCTTGATTGCTGTATGTCTCTCACAACCTATTCTCTGTGCAGCTGAGCCACTAATGGGCAGTAGTTTGCTTGAAGAGGCTTCAGTACCCAGTAAAAACCTGGTGTCTATGAATTCCCAGCCCAGCCTTGGTGGAGAGTCCTTGAACCTACCAAATACCAATTCTATCCTGGGAGTTGATGATGGTAAGACTTCCAACTCTCCTTTATTTGGGAAAAATGGGCTGCAACTAGGGGCTAAGGAATGGGGTGTCTCCACAATGTATGTTTAAATCTCATTTCTTATGAGTAGCTGTGGTATGAGTAGCATTTGTGTTCTTATTCTCTGGGGTGGATTAGTCAATCTGTTTAAAAAAAAATTTTTTTTCATTGAAGATAATATAATAAAAGAATAAAAAGAAAAAATTCTTAAGAAAAAATTATTCCTAATCCTAGCATCCTAGCCCAACTATTTCTATCTTTCCTATTGCAGTTATGGAAGAACTTAACTTTTAGAACATTTAAACAGAACATAACCAGGTTTTACAGAGGAGATATAAAGCAATTTCTCCATACCTTCAAAAGCCATATCTTCTGGAGAAAAGAAAGGGCTCTCTAGGAAACACTTGCTCCTCTCTGGTATAGAAATTTCACCCAAGTTACACAGGCCAGGCCCTCTTCTCTGAAAAACTTAACAGGTGAGGTCAGCATGCATTTATTCAGTGCCTACTGTGTGCCTGGCACCATGGGAAAGACAAAAGTAGAAGATAGGGACCTTAAAATCCAGTTGAGAAGTGAAAGCTTACATATATATGGGAAAGAACATTGAGTACATAAAAGATAGTATATAAGCCAACATTAAATTATATGGTACAGCATAAAATAGTTGTATAATCTAGAAAACCCCTAGAAGAAACTTCTAGTTTTTTGAGGGCTAAGTGGTATATCCATAAACTATTTCCAGAAGATTTTCATGGTGATCCCACTGATGAACATTTAGTAACTGTGAGACCCTATGTTTTTGTTACTCATATCATATTCAGTTAGTAAGTGCTATTAGTATCATTGGCGACTGCTTTTAAGGGTGGCTTTGGTTCCCTTACCTGCTTGCCTAAGACTTTTGCCTGTTTCATACATAGTTTTAATTCAGTTAAAAGTGCTAACACCATATTATTCTAAATCCTGTATTAAGATTTCTTGCCTTTCTATTCTCTTTTTATATTACTTTCCAAATTCACTGATAATGCTTATCAGACAGGATTAACTTGGAAGAAATAGAGGAATGTGGGAAATAGAGGAATAGAGTTTTAGAGTTGTTAATGAGAGGCTTAATGATCCAGATAGGTGTATCTCTGGATTCACTTTTCATTGAAACATTTTTCTGTTGCTTCACAGAGGTGCTTGCTGAAGGATCCCCACGTTCCCTGTCTTCAGTGCCTGATGTGACACATCACCTGGTGACCATGCAGTCAGGGAGGCAATCATATGAAGTTTCTGTCTTAACTGCAGTAAATCCACAAGAGGTAAAGTGGTCTCTTGCCCTTTGTTTCTGTGACAATTCATGTGGGGAATGATTGAGAATTTAGAGGACCTGAAAAAGTCTCCAGTTTCCATTTCCTGGAAACTTTGGCACGAATATTTTCCTTTAAATTAAGCATGAGTTCAGCTTGAAAGGAGCCTGAGGGTTAGGGTCTTAATGAATTGGAGATTGGTCTGTCACAGCTGGGACTCCCGGCTTTAAAGTTCTTTTATATACATTCCTTGTTGATGTCTGTTCCCACTATTCTCTGCCACACTATAACATGATACAGCTTTTATTTTATAAAAGCACACAGCAGGCACTGAATAAATGCATGTTGACCTCACCTGTTAAGTTATTCAGAGAAGAGGGCCTGGCCTGTGTAAATTGGGTGAAATTTCTGTACCAGACAGGAGCAAGTATTTCCTAGAGATCCCTTTCTTTTCTCCAGAAATAACATCCTGGAAAAAGTCCCTCAGCAAAAAAGGTAGTAACAAAATCATTAAACATAATTATTGTTCATTCTGCTATGGTCATATGTCTGGGAGATACCAGGCTTAACCAAATGGGCATATACAGATTTGTTCACTTGCTTGCTAAGTGAGAACCATTACCTAAATCAATGGTCTCCAGCCTTTTTGGCACCAGGGACCGGTTTCGTTTCACCTCAGGTCATCAGGCATTAGATTCTGATAAGGAGTGCGCAACCTAGATCCCTCAAATACACAGTTCACAATAGGGTTTGCGCTCCTATGAGAATCTGTTGCTGCTGCTGATCTGACAGGAGAGGTGGAGCTCAGGTGGTAATGCTTGCTCACCTGCTGCTCACCTCCTGCTGTGTGGCCTGGTTCCTAACAGGGCACGGACCAGTGCTGGTCCATGGCCTGGGGGTTGGTGACTTCTGATCTAAACAAAAAGGGTTTGAGGTTGAGCTAAAGCACTTTCAACTCTGTAGTTTGGCTTTGACTCAGGAAACAGAATGCAAAGTGGTCAGTGTTTTAAAATCTTGGGATATTTCACTGGTCTTGTGTCATGGGAGTGGATGACTTCATCACGAGCACATTTCATATGCATAAACTTTTGTCAAAACCTCTGTAGCTTGGATCCTTTCAGTATTACATTAGTTTTTATGGTGCTCTTCCGTCTTTTCTCCTCTTTTCTTTTCTTTTTTTTTTTGAGACAGAGTCTCGCTCCGTTGCCCAGGCTGGAGTGCAGTGGTGCGTTCTCGGCTCACTGCAACCTCTGCCTCCCAGGTTCAAGCGATTCTCCTGCCTCAGCCTCCTGAGTAGCTGCTACTACAGGTGCGTGCCACCACGCCCAGCTAATTTTTTTGTATTTTTAGTAGAGACAGGGTTTCACCATGTTGGCCAGGATGGTCTCGATCTCTTGACCTCGTGATCTGCCCACCTCAGCCTCCCAAAGTGCTGGAATTACAGGCGTGAGCCACTGCACCCAGCCTTCTTCTTTTCATTATAACCTTTATACCACAGTAAGCTGTTGCATCATTCAAATGACTCTGCATCCTATATTGAATATTCTCCATTATTCTCTAATATCTTTGGGGGTACCCAGGATTACAGGGTTCTGGGCATACATGTTAATGCTTTTGCCAGGACTTTTCTTTTTATTGTTGTGACCCATTGTCTTTGCTTATATTTAAAGTTTTTGATCTTGATATCATTGGTTCTTTCCTAAGTCACTTTTTCTGGTAACTGCTTTGGAATGAATCATACATATCTCACTTACGGAGCCTTCCTCTTTCTCCTCCATTTTTCTTGTCTTCATTTTTCTATTTTAAAGCTTTTATTATGGAAATTTTCAGAGTACAGTGAGAGAGAGACTAGTATGATAAACCCACGTCGAAGTCGAAGTTACGGCTGAGAGCGGCAGCTCACACCTGTCTCCTAACTTTGACTTTTTTTTTTTTTTGAGATGGAGTCCCACTGTCGCCCAGGCTGGAGTGCAGTGGTGCGATCTCAGCTCACTGCAACCTCCGCCTCTCAGGTTCAAGCAATTTTCCTGCCTCAGTCTCCTGAATAGCTGGGATTGCAGGCACCCACTACCAAACCCGGCTAATTTTTGTATTTTTATTAGAGATAGGGTTTTACCCTGTTGGCCAGGCTAGTCTGGAACTCCTGACCTCAAGTGATCCACCCGCCTCAGCCTCCCAAAGTGCTGGGATTACAGGTGTGAGCTGCCGCACTTGGCCCTAACTTTGACAGTTAACTTTATGCCATGCTCAGTGGCCCATGCCTATAATCCCAGCACTTTCGGAGGTGGAGGCAAGTGGATTGCTTGAATCCAGGAGTTCAAGACCAGCCTGGGCAACATAAGACCCCTATCTCTACAAAAAATACAAAAAAAAATTAGCGGGACGTGGTGGCATGTGCCTGTGGTCCCAACTACTCGGGAGGCTGAAGTAGGAGGATCACCTAAGCCTGGGAGGTTGAGGCTACAGTGAGCAGTGACTGTGCCACTGTACTCCAGCCTGGGTGACAGAGTGAGACCCTGTCTCAAAAGACAAAAACACAATTAACTTTATACTGTTCTTGTTTTATCTCTTTCCTCCTTTTGTTGTTGTTGCTGTTTATGATGGAGTATTTCAAAGCAAATTGTAGGCATGTCATTTCTTCTGTATATATTTCAGTATATGCCTCTAACAAGATACAATATTAAAAACTATAATATCTTTACCACTTCAAACAAAGATAACAATAATTTATTGTATTCTCTAATAGTCTATGTTCTTTTTTTCCTCCCCCTCAAAAATATCTTATGGTTGGTTTGCTAGAGTCAGGATTCAAACAATGTCTGTATATTGCATTTGTTTAATACTTCTCTTAATTCTCTTTATAATAGTCCTTTTTTTTCAGTATGGTTATCTATTTAAGGAACTGGGTTTTTTGTTTTGTTTTGTTTTTGTTTTTGTTTTGAGACTGAGTCTCACTCTGTGGCCCAGGTCAAGAGTGCAGTGGCGTGATCTCGGCTCACTGCAACCTCTGCCTCCCAGGTTCAAGCAATTCTCCTGCCTCAAGTCTCCCAATTAGCTGGGATTACAGGCACCTGCCACCAAGCCCCACTAATTTTTGTATTTTTAGTAGAGACGGGCTTTTACCATGTTGGCCAGGCTGGTCCCAAACTCCTGACCTCAAGTGATCCACCCACCTCGGCCTCCCAAAGTGCTGGGATTACAGGCGTGAGCCACTGCGCCCGGCCAGGAATTGGGAGTTTTTGTCCTAAAGATTTTCCCACATTCTGGTTTTGGCTGATTGACTCCTTTTGTTAATATTAATTTCTCTATCCACTGTATTTCCTAAAAACTGGTAGTTACATTTAGAGGTTTGATTAGATTCAATTTTTCCCCCTTGGCAAGAATATTTCATAAATGGTGCTCTTGCTTCCTATTACATCTCATCAGGAGGCACATGACAATCAGTTGATCTTAAGATTGACTGGTAGGTTATGTAAAGGTTTTGGCAACCATTACTGATCATAGCCTAGATCTATTTTTCATTAAGGCCTGCAAAATGGTGATATCCTAATTCTCTTGTTCCCTCTGTGTTTATTATGATTTTTTTTTTTTTTGAGGTGGAGTCTTGCTATGTTGCCCAGGCTGGAGTGCAGTGGCACCATCTCGGCTCACTGCAACCTCTACCTCCCGAATTCAAGCGGTTCTTCTGCCTCAGCCTCCTGAGTAGCTGGGACCACAGGCAGGTGCCACCACGCCCGGCTGTATTTTTAGTAGAGACGGGGTTTCACCATGTTGGCTAGGCTGGTCTTGAACTCCTGACCTCAGGTGATCCACCCGCCTCAGCCTCCCAAACTGCTGGGATTACAGGCATGAGCCACTGCGCCCGGCCTAATTGTGATTCTTTTATACAAGAAATACTTCTCTCATCAACCATAGGGTTGCCCTGAAATCGTCATTTCAGGAAAACCATCTCGTTTTTCTTTTACCTAGTACACATTATTATTCGAGCAAGCCAACCCACAGCACCTAGCCTTTTCTTTTTTATATTTGAAACCTCAGAGCTTTTCTCTCCTGTATTGGTAAATATCTTTAAAATTCTCCACGTTACCCAAATAAATGCCAGATGTATGAAAATTTAATTCATTCAGCGGCTAGTTACCACATACCTAGTATGTGTGGGGCATTCTGCAGGGTACTAGTTATACAATAGTAAACAAAATATAGTCTCTGCCTCAAATAGCTTATAGGCAGAATTAGGACCTTCATAACTATATATATGGTGCTGGAGTTGCACTGTACAGTGAGGTTAGGATGGGAGAAGTGACCAATTAATCAACCGGCAATTTTTTTTTTTTTTTTAATTTTTTAGACGGAGTCTCACTCTGTTGCCCAGGCTGGAGTGCAGTGGCACAATCTCGGCCCACTGCAACCTCTACCTCCTGGGTTCAAGCAATTCTCATGTCTCAGACTCCTGAGTAGCTGGGATTACAGGCGGCCACCACCACACCCAGCTAATTTTTTGTATTTTTGATAGAGACGGGGTTTCATCATGTTGGCCAGGCTGGTCTCAAACTCCTGACCTTAGGTGATCCACCCGCCTCGGCCTCCCAAAGTGCTGGGATTACAGGCATGAGCCACTGCGCCCAGCCTAAACTGGCAGTTTTTAAGTGTAGTACGTTCCAGTCTTGGGAGAAGTCAGAGAATATGTTTTAGAGTTTAAGTTGAGATGGGAGGGATGAATAGACATCATCTTGATGGAGAAGTAGGAGTTGGAAGAATATAACAGGCAGAAGGACAGCAGTGTGTACAAAGGTAGAAGGTAAGGGAGTAGAGGGCCTCTGTGGAACTGTAAATAGGGTTGAGTGTGATGGGACATGGGATGAAGAGATGGGCTGGAGAGGAAAATTGAGAGCTGGAAAGATAAGCTAGTCTCTTGAAAGGTCTTACAAGGCATGATTTTATCCTGGGGGCACTGAAGAACCACTGCATGGTTTGAAGTAGGGTATGACGTGATCAGATTTGTGTATTCAGAATATCCAGTAATAGTACATTTGTTCCCTAGAACCTAGGCACAAGTCTTGGAATTGGCCTCAGAGCATCCATGTATAATAGGTGCTGCCCACTTACAGCCTCAGGGAGACAGCATAACACAGGCTGCCTAAAAAACGAAAGACCTGGGTGTGGTGGATCATGTCTATAATCCCAGCACTTTTGGAAGCTAAGGTGGGAGGATCACTTGAGGCCAGAAGTTCGAGACAAGCCTGGACAACAGAGCAAGATCCTGTCTCTACAAAAAGTTTTTTAAAAAATTATCCAGGCATAGTGGTGCATACCTGTAGTCCCAGCTACTCCAGAGGCTGAGGCAGGAGGATCAACTTGAGCCCAGGAGTTCGAGGCTGCAGTGAACTATGATTGTCCCACTGCACTCCAGCCTGGGAGAGATCCTATCCCAAAAATCAAACAAAAAAAGGAAGTATGGTCTTCACTCCAGGAAGGCACAAAACCCAGTTTCATAATGGAAGCCCAAAACACTTAGAAAAATATTAACAACACAAAAGGGAAAGTGCTGTCCTGGATGTAGCTCAAAATCCTGCACTGTCACTTTTTCCTCATGGGTTTTTGTATATTTACAAACATACCCTCTGTCTGAGCCTCACTTCTTTTGTGTTTTCTTCACTTTTAGCATTATTCTCCTCCTCGTATCACAGGCATTTCCACTGCTTATCCCCTCCTTTTCTTTCTTCACTAGTTTGGGTCCTCCAATACCTTCAGTTTTTTTTCAAGCTGTGAGGCCCTCAGGGTTCCAGGCTTAGGCCTCTTCCTCATCCAAGGTCTAGGTAATAACTTGCTATTTCTCCAGTGAGTGAGGAATGTTGATTCCTTAAGAACTTTCAGGTGCCAGAGAAGGTGAAGGCTATTTGCAACACATGTCCGTTTCACCTTTTTTGGAGATCACCAAGCAGTATGGATCAAAGTCTACTGATGAACTTGTACTTCCTGTAAATATGCTCTAAAAATAAAAATAGCTTATCAAGAATATCAGAGAACAACCAAATCTGTTATCAGAAATTTTCATGAGAGGCTGGGTGCGGTGGCTAGCACTTTGGGAGGCTGGGGTGGGAGGATCAATTGAGCTTAGGAGTTTGAGACCAGCCTGGGCAACACAGGAAAACCCCATGTCTACAAAAAATAAAATAAAATTAGCTGGTCCTAGCTACTTGGGAGGCTGAGGTGAGAGGATCACTTGGGCCCAGGAAGTTGAGGCTGTAGTGAGCCATGATCTTGCCACTACACTGCAGTCTGGGTGACAGAGCCAAACTCTTTAAAAAAAAAAAAGAAGAAAAATTACCATGGGAAAAATATCAGAAACTACAAGTCACCTCTCTGGTTCAGGTGGACAATCTCTATTTTCCCTCATTATTGTGCCACATCTGAGAATTAGATGGAGGACTCATTGCACAGGCCCAACTGGGAACCCCAGGGCTTTTGGGCTGTCATACTTACTAAAGGTCATTCTAAATGGGGCTCCATATTTACATTGAGTTCACATTCTTGAACTCAAGAACCAGTATAAGAGATTCCCAGCTAGTTTTGACTACCTCTTAGAATGCTTTCCAAATCAAGGCACAAATAGAAATTACAAATTCTATAATATTTCTCATAAAGTACCTTTGCTAAGTTTGACTGCAAAGATCTGGATCTTGGCCTCCATTAAAAACACACTATTCTTAACTTTCCTGCCACACAGCATCAAATGGAATATGTGGTTTCTTTAAGGTTTAATTTTTTCTTTAGATTTTGTTTAAAAGTCTTTAAATTCCATATAATTAAACTCTTAAAAAAAAGTTTTTTTGGTGGATACAGTGTCTTACCATGTTGCCCAGGCTGATCTCAAATTTCTGGCCTCAAGCAATCCTCCTCCCTCAGCCTCCCAAAGTGGTGGGGTTATAGGCATGAGCCATGGTGCCCAGCCCAATCATTAAATTCTACTGTATAAATTACCTTCATCCAAATTAGGATCACCAAGTAAATACATCTCAAGCTGAAGAATTTATTTGATTAGATTTTAATAAGTTGTTTTTGTTCTGAATTTTACTGAATTGTTCCCATCTCATTTTTGTGTGTCTGAAAACAGTCTCAGTCTGTCACTCAGGCTGGAGTGCAGTGCAGTGGCATGATCATAGCTCACTGCACCCTTGAACTCCTGGGCTCAAGTGATCCTCCTCCCTCAGCCTCCCAAGTAGCTAGGACTGCAAGCATGTACCACCATGCTTAATTTTTAAAATTTTCTTGTAGAGACAGGGCCTCACTGTGTTGCCCAAGTGGGTCTCAAATTTCTGGTCTCAAGCAGTTCTCCTGCCTCAGCCTCCCAAAGTGCTGGGATTACAGATGTGAGCCACTGCACCCAGCCTCATTTTGTTTTTATATTAAAATGGAAGCCAATTTCATTATTTCAAAACTCCTTTGAATAGAGCCTTGTGTATAGAGTAGAATGTTAGTGGTAGTTGCCATTATGCAGGAGTCCCTTAGGCTTATCATTCTTTTAAGCCCAAGGAACCCCTAGATCTTTTATGAGTGGGTTTCAGCTCTCATATAGTACTTATAAAGGAACAGCTCCTCTTCCTATTTCCTTCTCCTACTTGAGCCTTCAGCCTATCCTTTGGCTGACACGTATAAGATTTTGGTTCCACCATTTCTGTTTTCCCTGTAAGTTAGAGATTCCTCTGTCACTGACTGATGAGTAGGTAACTACACAAACAATAGTTTGGCTTATAGACTCAGAATATTTGATTGCCAGAGTTAAAATGCCAGCCTTATGACATGGCTAAAGTGCTGTCCCAAGGCCACAGTGACATCTATCAGTCCGTGCATGTGTTTGCTTTGGAAGTAGATAGCCTTCATTCACCCCTGTAGTGCATTCTCCATCCTCCACTCTTAATACTTTTTACTATGAATTATTTTTTCTATAATTCAACTGTAACCTATTCTAGATTTGCTTTCAATCTTTTACAGTTACTAAACCAAGGAGATTTAACTGAAAGACGGACATGAGCGTGGGTGCTGACTCCTGGAAGAGCAACTCTATCTGATCTCAAAATGCGTATACTGGGAACAGGATGCCTTAGCCCACAACAGAACCAGAATGAATCTTTGAAGGCACAAGACTCTGCTTTTGCCACTCTTCCTCTTTCCTGGTATAGAAGATGGATGTAGGAGAGCTTCTTTTCTAACTACCATCTGATCAGACAAGGAATGAAGCAATGACTGTGGGCTGGGAAACTGTACCTACCTCTCTTCCCACTGCAAATTTCTGGGATAGACCAAAAGTGAATTTGATTATGTGTTGGCTGAAGTTCTTCATTCTGACTGTTGAGGGGAGGTTTTCCTTTGAAGAGTTTTCATCCCAGACTCAGCTGTCTTTTCACATGGATGAAATAATTCCTGCTACCAACAACAGAGCTTCACCAGGAAGTTGAGTTTTCAAGATGCCTTGTTGCTTTGAAGAAGGGAGTGATGTCAATTCTCTTGTTACATTCTCCCTTTAGCAACCTGAGTAAGAGACTCTCTGCCACTGGGCTGCAAAAAAATAAATTACTTGAATCTCCCCTTGGCCCAGGCTGAGGTACTATCTTGTCCTATACACTTCTACTTGGTCACTTTGCTTTCTTCGTTAATGGAACATACAGTAGCATGTTAAGAGGGATTTCATGTTTTTGTTTTTTTAAAGTTAAAAATTACATGATGCAGAGATTCAGGTTTTCCTTTAAATAAACAAAACAGCCCAGTCAGTTCTTTGGCTCTTGTTTTATACAAAATTTGTTTTCTTAGAGATTAAGAATTTAATCTTTCCCTTTAAAATAGTGTATTGATTTACCCTTAGGATTCCATACCAGTAAAACTGAACCGAGGAGTCTTAGGAAACAACAAGAACATCTTCATTTCTTAAGCCCAGGTGATAGTTACTCTGTCACCACCAAAAAAGACGCATCTGAGAAAATGGCAATAAAAACAGATACTTCTGAATTTTTCCACAAAGATAGTTTTTTTAAAAAAGCTTGAGAAAGGTGCTTTAGTTAGAGCAGGCACTCTTGCTATCAGTCATCCTGTCTCCACAGCTACTGAGAAAATATCCACTCATCATCATTATGATTTGAGATGGGGTCTTGCTCTGTCACCCAGGCTGGAGTGCAGTAGTGTAATCATAGCTCAATGTAACCTTGAACTCCTACGCTCAAGGCATCCTCCCACCTCAGCCTCCTGAATAGCTAGGACTATAGGCATGTACCACCAGTCCAGCTAACTTTTTGTGGTTTTTTTGGTAGAAATGAGGTCTGTGTTGCCCAGGCTGGTCTTGAACGCCTGGCTTCAAGCGATCCTCCTGCCTTGGCCCCTCAAAGTGCTGGGATTACAAGCATGAACCACTGCACCGAGCCAGAATATCCAATTATTATTGGTGAGAAGAAAATTATTCCAAAGTTCACCTACTAGTAGAAAATCTTGGTTGTCTGGGAAATTTTAAGTTTACTTAAAATGAACCTCATGCTCACATAAACACACAGGCACATTCTAAACAGATAACGGGAGAGAATTGTTTTAAATTCTTAATTTGTTAATGACATGCATAATCACATAGTACATAGACTGTGTTCATGGCAATTACTTGTATTCTTAGAATGCCAGTTTTTGCTTCATGCAGCCATTTATATTAGAGCAGTGGTTCTCAGCCAGGCACATTTTTGCCCCCTGGGGATATGCAATATCTGGAGACATTTTTGGTTGTCACAGCTGGGGAGAGGGGTACTACTGGCATCTAGCAGGTAGTGGCCAGGGATGCTACTAAACATTCTACAATGTACAGGACAGTTCCCTTCCCCAACCCTCAACAAAGAATTAGGTGGCCCAAAATATTAATAGCACTGAGGATAAGAAATCCTGTACTAGAAGTTGTAAGTTTTTCATCCCCCATGGGCTAGATCTGATATGCAGATGTATTTTATTTTGCCCATACAATATTTCTAAGTAATTTTTAAATTAGTTGATAGCATACAAATTTCTGGCTTGATGAAAATGTAGTTGATGTAGTAACTCTGAGCCTATATTCCAGCAGGATTTGATACTTTCCAGTGTCTACTATCTCCTACTGTCTACACCCACTCCATGGACGCATTTATGTTTCTGCACTAGCCCCTTATAGGCATTTGGGCCTGTGCTCTCTTTTCTGTACCTAATTCTCTAAGTGTGAGGCACAAAGCAGGAACCCTTAACTTTAGGCTACCATCCCTCCACCTGAGCCTCCCCACTTTGATTTCCTTGAACTATTCTCTGTTATCTGCTGCTCTTTTTTTTTCTCAGACAGAGTTTTGCTCTGCTGCCCAGGCTGGAGTGCTGTGGAGTGATCTCAGCTCATTACAACCTCTGCCTCTTGGGTTCAAGTGATTCTCCTGCCTCAGCTTCCCAAGTAGCTAGGATTACAGGCACGTGTCATCACGCCCAGCTAATTTTTGTATTTTTAGTAGAGGTGGAGTTTTGCCGTGTTGGCTGGACTGGTCTCAAACTCCTGACCTCAGATGATCTGCCTGCCTCAGCCTCCCAAAGTGTTGGGATTACAGGCGTGAGCCACTGCGCCTGGCCTGTTAATCTGCTACTCTTCATTTGTCCATCCTCTAACAGTAGCCATGACTCAAAACCCAAGTTTTCCCTGCCTTGACTCAAACCCAAGTTAGCTGCTTAATATTTTTCAAAAGCAGTAATTTTAAGTGTAGTGATTAAGCAAGTGATACGAGATTTTCTGGTGACTGATGAGACAGCTCCTCCAGTACTTTCCTGGGGCTTGCAGGCTGTTCTAGAGATCCTTCTAAACCCTGCTCTGGATCTCTGATGCTGAGTTTTGTAGTTTCTTGGAACCTGCAGAATAAATTAAAACATGAAAAACAAAAAAAATTTTTTTTTCAGACAGGGTCTCACTCTCACCCAGGCTGGAGTGCAGTGGCATGATCTCAGCTCACTGCAGCCTGGACAGCCCAGCTGAAGCAACCCTCCCACCTCAAGCAATCCTCCCACCTTAGCTTCCCAAGTAGCTGGGATTATAGGCACGTGCCACTGCACCCAGCTAATTTTTTTTTTTTTTTTAACTTTTTGTAGAGACAGGGTTTTGCCATGTTGCCCAGGCTGGTCTCAAACTCCTGGGCTCAAGCGATCCACCCACGTCAGCCTCTCAAAGTGCTGGGATTACAGGCGTGAGCCACCGTGCCCAGTCTGAAAAAAGAAAGTCTTAAAGCACTGTGTAAGGTTTAAGAACGGTCTCTCCCAGCACTTTGGGAGGCCATGGCAGGTGAATCACGAGGTCAAGAGATCAAGACCATCCTGGCCAACATGGTGAAACCCCATCTCTACTAAAAATACAAAAAATAGCTGGGCGTGGTAGTGGACACCTGTAGTCCCACCTACTCAGGAGGCTGAAGCAGGAGAATCGCTTGAACCCGGGAAGCGGAGACTGCAGTGAGCAGAGACTGCAGTGAGCCAAGACTGCGCCACTGCACTCCAACCTGGCGACGGAGCAAGACTCCGTCTCAAAAAAAAAAGTCTCAACATTATTACTATTTTATATGGGATGTAAAGGAAAATTTCTAGGGGTATAAAACTGAGATAGGAATTAGGGTAGGGGCTGCTAGGATTTAAGATACAAAACAATTGAGAATAATGGAGAGAAGATACTATTTTCTCCCTTTGACTCAATATCAAAATGGGTTATGGAGGGCCGGGCGCGGTCACTCACGCCTGTAATCCCAGCACTTTGGGAGGCTGAGGAGGGTAGATCACGAGGTGAGGAGATCGAGACCATCCTGGCTAACATGGTGAAACCCCGTCTCTACTAAAAATACACAAAAATTAGCCAGGCGTGATGGCGGGAGCCTGTAATCCCAGCTACTCGGGAGGCTGAGGCAGGAGAATGGCGTGAACCCAGGAGGCGGAGCTTGCAGTGAGCCAGAAATCGCGCCACTGCACTCCAGCCTGGGCAACAGAGTGAGACTCTGTCTCAAAAAAAAAATACAAAAAATAAAAAAAAAAAGGTTATGGAGAAGGTGATACTAATGAGCTACCTTTAAGGAATGCTAGAAAAACAGTTTTATAGTTTTATAAGAAGTCAAAATATACATGATTTTTCTTCAAAAATAAAGTAGAAATAGTTTCAGCTCATGAAATTGGAACTGGAATTGGAAAATGATCTGTTTCAAAATGGAAGAAAACGAAACATAATTTGTCAGATTTTATTCACAACTGCATCACTCTCTAAATTCAAATGTGTTACTTGGAGATCTCTGGATTACTTATTAATGTTACATAAATACAGGATTATGATCTCAAAATACCAGTGGCTATTCTAAAGTTTCCTCCCAGTGGTATTACTGGGTATGACAATTTAGAGAGCTGCAGAATGACAGCAACATTTCAGGTTACCTGGGAAAATCCTTGATTTTGGTCTCTTTCTCTTGAACAGCCCGGGTGCCTTGACCCTTGTTTCTCACAAAGTCTTCCTCCAGCCCAGCCTGCTTCAGGGTGTCTAGATACCACTGTTCTGCTTCTTTCTTGGCTAGATCCTGTGGGATGGAAATTAATCTGTTGTAGCTGTCTTATGAATTACCAGACAATTCTAAATTACTTAATCAGTATTGTTACAATACTGCCACAACCACCACCACCCTTATTGTGGGGCATAGATTTGCAAGAAAATTATTTAACCCTTGTTTTCCAGCCTTAATGTGTATATAAATCACCTGAGGTCTTGTTAAAATGCAGATTTCACATTTGGTAGGTGTCAGATGAGGACTGTAATTCTGTATTTCTAACACTCCCCAGAGATGCCAAACTGTTGATTTGGGAGTCACAATTTTGAAAAGCAATGACTTAGACTTTTGGGAGACAAATGAGACCCAGATTTAAAAGGATGGACTAAAAACCTAAGATTTTAAAGCAACAAACCATTATCAGGAACACTAAAATAAAATAGAAAATAAGCTACACCAAGACTCTTAGTGGAAGGACAGATGGTCTGCATGTGGACCAGCAGAATATTATTTTTTGTTTAAGTATTCAAGAACAAAATCATAGAGTACTTTGTATTTTTCCTAGAGAGGTGAAAGATCTGTTGAGATCTGAAGAGTGAGCTTGCTTAACATTAACATAAAGAAGCATGAGATTTTGAACAATGCAGGTTGCTAAGTAAATCCAAGACCATGTGTGCTTATGTGTGTGAGAGGAGAAAGATTTATGGAGGGAGGAGGAAGTGGAGCCAGCAAATGCCTAGACAATGTACTAACTATAAGATGGAGCTAATGCCCTGCCATTGGAACTAGGTCACTATGGAACCCCAACTTGTCTGAAACTGGAGAGGAAAGAGATCCACAGAGCCTAATGCAGTAGAAACAGAGCATCCTTACATCCTTACGGAGATCTCAGCTGAGTCCAACATCCCTAAAAGTCTACAGAGAATATCTTAAAATGATACTCTTCCAGGATACTTCGGGTACACTGCCTATGGGTTAGCCCTGCTCCATAAGGAACACACACTCACACACACATACACATGCATACAAAATAAAAGAAGAAAAAAAAATTTCAGGCTTCCAGCCTGAAAGCCACTTAGTCTAGAGAAAGCCTTGCAGGGTGTTTGTGGGCATCCTAATGCTTGGAGACCTATAAATATACCACAGCTCTAGAGGCTGGGGAGGCCCAGGGCCAGCAGCACTGCCAGAGGAGAGATACCTTTCCAGCACTGTGAACAGTGGCTCCAGAGCATAGAAAGAGCCAAATGGTCCCTGTGTCTCTGGGGTCTAATGCCCAGTCTGATGAAATCTGAATGGTAGACTACAGTGAAAGCTCTAGGAAGTGAAATATCCCTTTATCGATGCCTTTGGAGTCCACTCTTGGATGAAATCAACACAAGCAGCATTCTCTATTGTACTATTTATTTTGGGAAAAGAAGGTAGTAGTGAAATTAGAATTTCTGGGCCTCAAGGAAAATTTTAATACCCACATATTAAAATTGTTTTGTAATTTTTCAGAGTCCTTTTATCTAAGGCAGAAAGAAAACAAATGATGGTTTAGTTTTACCTTGGCAACTTGTTCAAAGAGATAGGGCCTTGTTTGTATTCGCTGCTTCATTTCCTCCAGTTCTTTCTTATATTCTTTCGCTCTTTTACGGTCATTGTTCCTGGAATTAGCAAGACTTTTAGAAAGAATTTCATCTTTTCTAATCCAGAATACCCTTCATTTCCAGTAAAGCAGTGTAACTCTCGTGTACACTGTAAATTCCTATCTGACTTGGAAAATCATGACCCTGCTGTGATTACAGGAGCCTACCTACCTCGATAACTCTATTTTGCATTTTCTGGCAATAGGCCAGTGGTCTGTTGGATCCCAAGGCAAGCACCCCTTTTGACACATAGAGGACACTGACCGGTTCTCTTTCAGCTTTGCTTTGAACACTTCCTCCAGGCTTTTATGGGGATCCATGGCTTTTGCACGCAAGGTCACAGATTTGGACATTGCTTGAGACTTCTTTTTGTGTATCTCCAGCCACTGAATACTCTCATCTGCTTTGTTCTTTTTTTCAAGTGCACTTCTAAAGGAAGGAGGCAGAAAAAGAGTATAGATTACCAACCTGGGTATACTGAAAAGCAATCTTAGGCCAGGTGTGGTGGCTCACACTTGTAGTCCTAGCACTTTGGGAGGCCAAGGCAGGTGGATCACCTGAGGTCAGGAGTCCAAGACCAGCCTGGCCAATACGGTGAAACCCCAGCTCTACTAAAAATACAAAAATTAGCTGGGCATGGTGGTGTGCACCTGTAATCCCAACTACTCGGGAGGCTGAGGCAAGAGAATCGCTTGAACCCGGGAGGCAGAGGTTGCAATAAGCCAAGATCGCACTGCTGCACTCCAGCCTGGGCGACAGATCAAATTCCGTCTCAAAAATAATAATAATAATAAAATAAAATAAAATAGCCGGGCATGGTGGCTCATGCCTGTAATCCCAGCACTTTGGGAGGCCGAGGCGGGCGGATCACAAGGTCAGGAGATCGAGACTATCCTGGCTAACACTGTGAAACCCCATCTCTACTAAAAATACAAAAAATTAGCCGGGTGCGGTGGTGGGCGCCTGTAGTCCCAGCTACTCGGGAGGCTGAGGCAGGAGAATGGCATGAACCTGGGAGGCGGAGCTTGCAGTGAGCCGAGATCGTGCCACTGCACTCCAGCCTGGGCGACAGTGAGAGACTCCGTCTCAAAAAATAATAATAAATAAATAAATAAAATAAAGCAATCTTAGTAACCTTTTCTGGAAAGTAAGTTGGTGTTTTTAATGAATGGGGCATGTAATTTACCTCAACTGCCATTTTTAAAAATAATAAAATTCTAGGATTAAATGCACTGGCAGATGAAGCCTTTCCAGCACTAGGGACACAGTGAGTTCCTACCCTAGAAGTGCATTTACTGAACTGGAGAAACGTCAGTTAAAATATCCTTACTTAGGTCGGGCACGGTGGCTCATGGCTGTAATCTCAGCACTTTGGGAGGCTGAGGCGGGCTGATCACAAGGTCAGGAGTTCGAGACCAGCCTGGTCAACATGGTGAAACCCTGTCTCTACCAAAACTACAAAAAAAATTAGCTGGGTGTAGTGGCACGTGCCGGTAATCCCAGCTACTTGGGAGGCTGAGGCAGGAGAATCACTAAACCCGGGAGGCAGAGGTTGCAGTGAGCTGAGATTGCGCCATTGCACTCCAGCATGGGCGACAGAGCAAGACTCTGTCTCGAAAAAAAATATATATATCCTTACTTAAACAGTCCAACATTCAATAGGTCTTCGCCTATCTGGATACAAAATAATACTAATAGCTACCATTTACTGAGCTCCTTATTATGAACCAAGTACCATTACATTTCACATTGTCCTCATAACTGCCTTATGAGGTAAATACTAAATTCCCTTTTTATAGGGGAGGTGATTGAGGCTCAAAGGAGGTAAGCCCCTTGCTCAAAGCTACCCAGCATGCCAGTGGAAAAGCCCCTATTGGACCAGGACCTCTGACTCCGAAGCCTCTGGCCTTGACCACTCTGCTGGAAACAGTGGGCTGGAAGGTGTCTGGGTTCATGGTCCTTTGGGAATACAAATCTGCACATTCAGAGAGAACTGGAAATGAGCCTCCCTCAGTGCAGACTATTTGGGTTCAACTTGTAGCACTTAGTTTGTTCAGTTATCTACAAAGTAATATGTTGAGTTCTTCCAAAAGGAAAATCAACCAAGACTCTTATATTTGGATGTTTATATTCAAATGGACATACTGGGAAGAAGGACATGAAAATTTAATCTGTTAATATGTCAGATTCCCTGTGGCTGGAAAGCAGATGTGGATGTCCTCTATAGGAAGGCCAGCCTCTTTGTTCAGGAGGCCTGTGTTCTTGGGCCCTCAGGATACTGAGCAATTAATTAGCCCTGATTTAGTAGGTCTAACTGAAGTCTGAAGAAGAAAGGAGTATCCCTTGGACCGTAAATACTCTTCTACAATCCCTGCTGTGGGGCTTAACGATCCAAGTAGGTTCTGAGTACTCCCCTACATGCCCCATGGGAAGGCAGTAAGACATTAGTCCTCTCCCTGGCCTAAGCTGCTGTTACACCATGACCTCTCTTGCCTACTTCAGCTCAGAAGCCTGGTGGAAGAACCCTTGCTGGGGGCTGGCTTAATGAGAACATCATAACAGAATCAGGTCAGTTGAAGAGTTAAAAATAAGCAGGCTCTTGCTGCCCAACAGACTCTGACATCTTCCCAAGATGAATCTCAGAGAATCTCAAATCTATGCAATGGATGTCTCATATTTGCGGCAACTTCAGCCACCTGCTAGCATGCTTCTCTGAATTCTTGTTCCTCACTACTCCCTTCCTCTCACCCATGGGCTTTTATCCATGTTCTCTCTGTCTGGAACCTTCCTTCTCTCCAGGCTTTGTCTGGCGAACTCTTCCTTGTTCTTCAGTTTCACTTTAGACATCTATTCCACAAGACAAGACCCCCCTGCTCCAGGCTGCCCAGTGCCCTCACAGTCCCCTTTACCCCCCATCATTGCACTACTCAAAAAATATGGCCATTGCTTCTTTGCTTTTCTGTATTTCAGACTAGATAATAAACTGGAGGTTCCCTAAGATCTCCAGCCTTAACACTGTGCCTGGCACAGAATAAGCCCACTATGAATATGTGCTGAATGATGGCTAGCTGTTCTCCAAGCACCAGGTGTGGAGAACCGCAATTGTTCCAGTCCTGATCAGAAAATTCCCTTTGACCCCTTGAGGTATCTCTGATAACAGGAAAGGAGGCCCCTTGGCAGGGAGGTTTCCAGCATTTGGGGCCAGAATCAGAGCATGGGTCTCGTGCAGCCTGACCACTCACCTGACTGCAGATTCCCTCTTCCTGGTGGCATCTGTGATGTGCACAGGGAGAGTGTTGGCAGAGAGGGAAGCAAGGCCGCTCAGAGAACGACTCCTTGGCAGGGGTGTAGCTGGTGGCTGTGGGGAATCCTAGAAGAAACAAAGGTTGGTATTGGTGGGACAGCATGTGTGATTAGTTTCTATCTTTTTTTTTTTTTTTTTTTTTTGAGACAGAGTCTCGTCTCGCTCTTTTGCCCAGGCTGGAGTGCAGTGGCGCAATCTCGGCTCACTGCAACCTCCAGCTGCCTGGTTCAAGCAATTCTCCTGCCTCAGCCTCCCACGTAGCTGGGACTATACAGGTTGTGAGCCACCATGCCCAGCTACATTTTTGCAGTTTTAGTACAGACGGGGTTTCACCATGTTGGTCAGGCTGGTCTCGAATTCCTGATCTCAGGTGATCCACCCGTGTCGGCCTCCCAAAGTGCTGGGATTACAGGTGTGAACTACCGCGCCCAGCCATTTTCTATCTTTACTAGGATTCAGCTTCACTGAAGGACTGAAAATGAGAATCTTCATTTTTTTTCCTGGGAATAAGGCAAGGATAAAGAGATCTCAAGTTTCACAACCAAGCCAAGACTTGGATATCAATCCTAAAGTTTTTAGTCAAATGAGAAGAGTTCCTTGGAATTGGTATAGAGACATCAACAACTGATCCCAACTCCTTGCCTCTCAAGCCTGCTTGGACTTATTTCTGTGAAATCCTTCTACAGTAAGGGAGGAAAAGAAGTGTCCCTATGGTTTCTGTTGTGTTCTGTTTTTGAGATGAACTTTCACTCTTGTTGTCCAGGCTGGCCTGCGGTGGCACAATCTCAGCTCACTGCAATCTCCGCCTCCCAGGTTCAAGCAATTCTCCTACCTCAGCCTCTGAAGTAGCTGGGATTACAGGTGCCCGCCACCGCACCCAGCTAATTTTTGTATTTTTAGTAGAGATGGGGTTTTGCCATGTTGGCCGTGCTGGTCTCGAACTCCTGACCTCAGATGATCTGCCCTCCTCGGCCTCTCAAAGTGCTGGGATTAAAGGCGTGAGCCACCACGCCTGGCCTGTTTTTTGTTGTTGTTTTTAGATGGGGTCTCACTCTGTTGCCTAGGCTGGAGTACAGTGGCATCATCTTGGCTCACTGCAGCCAGAAGGTCCTCCCACCTCAGCCTCCTGAATGGCTGGAACTACAGGTACACACCACCACATGTGGCAAATATTTGTATTTTTCTTTTAGAGATGGGGTCTCTGTTGCCCAGGCTGGGCTGTGGTCTGGAGTTTATAGGAAAGTGAATCTGCTTACAACTGAGCTGGTGTTTAAAAAAAAGATAGGAAAACCTTGTTGAGAAGTGCTTTCCAGGAAGACCTGGCCCCACCCTGTATTTCAGGCCGCAGCCCTGACCCTCCCACAGCTGCCTGGGCTCTCACCTGCCTCCTTCCGGTGGTGGCAGCATCACAGGGCCGCTGAGGGTGGCGCAGGTTGGCGGTCCTCAGCAAGAAGGGCTTGTTGCGAGTGGCCTCTTGGGTTTCTCTTCTTTTGGCTGCTCTTCTCTGGAAGGCCTTGTAAAGGCCCTCATAGTCAGGGACCACAGGATTCACCCGAGGCTGGAATCTGAAGTTAGTGTGCAGAAACCCAAGCTTTTCCTGCTGGGTTCGGGTGGCTGTGCGGGGCTGTGGGTTAGCCCGGTTACTAGAGGAGGCGATAGGGGAAGAGGCCATCTGGAGCATGTCCAGGGCTCTCATTTGGATGCGAATTTTCCTGAAGAGCTCAGCTTCTGTGGAGAAAGGATGGTGATGGGTAAGAAAGGACCAAGCAAGAAACCTACAGGGTTGGAGAACTTTCCCTCTTTTACACACTAGCTGTAAGTGTTACTGGAGGCAAGTAGGAACTTTTCAGGAATTCTGACACGTTAACATCCTGTGAGATGCCTGCAGATGGCCTGAATAGGAGTAATTATGCCACAGAAAATAACAAACATTACAAACCAGCTTCCTTTTTTTTTTTTCTGGAGAGCTTGTTAATAAATGTCATCCAGAACACCACTGCCTGTGTCAATCAGGCTGCAGAAGCAGTGACCATCTACACTTACTGAGCACTTTCTATGATTGCTTCTTCAGAGATGAAGCAGAGGAAGTGGGCCAGTAACCTGCTCCTCTCCCAGGTTTCCCCATCTGAGAGAAAGGCCCTACCATCCACCCAGCTGCCCAGGCCCTTTGCCCACATCACTGACTCCTCCGTGTCTCTCATCAGTCACAAGTTCTGTCATTTCCTCCTCTTTAACCTCTCTCCAGTCCATCCTCGTTTTTTCATCCCTGCAACCAGTTGCACAATTTCTCTACTGAATTGTGAAATAGCTTCCTCTTGGCTCAACATCCCTCCAGTCTTGCTGCCCTCTCAGATTATCTATACAGCAATCAGAAGGATCCTTCTGAACTATATTTCTGATCATGGGCCACCCTGCCTCACTCCCTCAGTGGCTTCCCTGTGCCCTTGGGATGAAGTCCAGACTCGCCAACGTGGCTTGCAAAGCTCCTCATGTCTGGCCCATGCCTGCCTCTTCCTTCCCACTCCCTCTTCTCTCAGCCCTCGACCTTTCCATCCCTTGCAGATGCTCTGCTTTCTCTCCCCTCCATGCCACATTCTGCCTGCTCCACTTCTCCTCCCTCTTCGCCCCTCCTTCAGTTCAGCCCCAGGGCCCACTTTCTCAGGGGACCTTCCCTAACTGCTCCCTTGCTTCACCAATCCCCGGGTTAGGTCCCTTTGATATATGCTCCCATGCTTCCCCTTTTAATCCTTGTAAATAACTCGCCACATTTGTATGTATTTGTCTTTATCTGTTTTCCTCACATATCTACAAACTCCATGTCTGTGTGTTCACCATGGCACAGTGCCTGGAGCATGGCACATGCTACCGAAAAGTGAATAAAGCCTGAGCCCCTTATTTGGAGCTATACTTTTGGAAATGTGTAAATAATCATCCCCCAGGTAATTTCGGCGATTGACACTACCTCACCAGGACGAAGGAGCCATGGGGGAGCATCTCAGGGCAGTGTGCTGGTGGTGGCATGAGCCCAAGCTGGTCCTCAGGTGTCTCACTGGTTCTCTATTCCTGCACCTGTGCTGGTGCAGAGGCCCTCATGTGCATTCACTTAGATGTCAACAGGACGAGCCTTGGGGACACTGTGGGACCTCTCACTCCTGGCACCATACAGGTCCTGATTGTATAGACAGACCTAACCCTCCCCAATGGCCTGCACTAAGCGTGCAGCCTCTAGTGGGTCCACCCAAGCAGCAAATCTCCAAGCCAGGCAGATCCCTGGGCCCTGACTAAATCCCTATGGTGGGATTGGTTCCCCGAGGCAGGAGGCAGCAAGGTGGCAAGGATGTCTTTACCCTGGAGTTTATCCCCAAGGGCTGGCTCCAGAATGGACTTGGGAATCCTTCTGGTGGCCTTCTGCTTGGAGATCTTGGCTTCAGCTGTGGCTGCCAAGTCTCTCTGTCGAGCAGCTTCCTTTAGCTGCTCCTCCTTCTCCAGGAAGCTGAAGGGCTTCAAAGAAGAGAGGAGCAGTTCCTTCCTCTTCTGGATCCCTGCCTGCCTTCGGGCCTCGCTGCGCTCCATGATCTCTTGGTAGAGGGGCAGGTAGACATGTGCAGGCACAGGCTGTGCCCGGAACTGCCTGTGGCACTCGGCCTCTTCCTCACCCTGCCTCTGGGCCCGCTGCCTCTCCTGCTCAAAGGAGGCAGGTGAGCCCAGCCACTCGGCCTTCTTCCGGGCCTCGCGCAGCGTCATGCGGAATGGCCGAGGGACAGTAATGGATGATGCCCAGGAGCTGACGCTTCTGTGCTGGGAGGGAGGCCGGGAGCCTGAGGGTGGCTGGGTCTGAGGCCTGGGAATGTTGGAGGGAAGGTTGTTCAGGGAGCTGCAGCGCCTTGTGGAGCCACACCTGGGAAAAAAGCAGATCTGTGAGTGGAGGACAGGGCAGTCAGGAGGCCCTGCTCCCTCCAGACCTCCTCCCCAGTCCTCCCTTCCCACTGGTCACAGCTGGCTGCTCAGCCTAACACCACAGCCCCACAGGCCTCTATGTCCATGACCTTCCCACAGACAATCCTGGCAGCCCTAATGGAAAGTCTCTTCTCAGAATTGATCCAAGAACTGCCACTTTGCACTCTAATATTTCATATGAGAGAGAGAACAATGAGCAGAGTAGAGCTTTAGAGTCAGACAGACCTGGGTTTAAATCTTGCTTCAAACTTTGAGCAAAGTTCTGTTAAAACCTCAATTTCCTCCTATGTAGAGTGGCAAAAATTAATGTCTACTTACCAGGTTATTGGAGGAGAAAGTAAATATTAAATAAGATAAAGTAATGAGATAATGTACACTTTATCTCATTCAATATTTACTTTCTAAGGCTTGACCAAGATAAAGGTACTTTGTTGTCATTCTCAGGGAAAGTGTATTTAGGAAATGCTTCCCTGTATTTTTTTTTATTTTTTATTATTTATTTACTTATTTTTTGAGATGGAGTCTTGTACTGTTGCCCAAGCTGGGCGTGATCTTGGCTCACTGCAACCTCCACCTCCCAGATTCAAGCAATTCTCTGCCTCTCCTTCCGAGTAGCTGGGATTACAGGCACCTGCCACCATGCCCGGCTAATTTTTTTATATTTTTAGTAGAGACGGGGTTTCACCATCTTGGCCAGGCTGGTCTTGAACTCCTGACCTCATGATCCAGCCACCTCGGCTTCCCAAAGTGCTGGAATTAGAGGCGTAAACACGGTGCCCGGCCCATTTTTAAATTTTATTTTATTTTTATTTGTTGAGACAGAGTCTTGCTCTGTTGCTCAGGCTGGAGTGCAGTGGCGTGATCTCAGCTCACTGCAACCACCACCTCCTGGGCTCAAGGGATTCTCATGCGTCAGCCTCCTGAGTAGCTGGGATTACGGGCACACGCCACCATGACTGGCTAATTTTTGTATTTTTAGTAGAGATGGGGTTTCACCATGTTGGCCAGGCTGGTCTCGAATTCCTGACCTCAAGTGATCCGCCTGCCTCAGCCTCCCAAAGTGCTGGAATTACAGGTGTGAGCCCCTGCACCTGAGGAAAGGCTGCCCTTTAATTAATTCCAGTGCATCACTGGACTAAGTGTTGCCCAAAGTAATTCAGGATTCCTGGGGAGGAATCAGAACACCTGTTTGGAACCAAAAGCTGATTCTCAGCTAGAGCCTCAGTAAATGGCAACTTGCAGAAGTGCTCTTTGCTTTACAGAGGAAGATGAAGCCCAGAGACACGATGTGACCTGTGTGGAGGTGTGGAGTGAGGCAGCCGTGGAGCTGCAGTGCCTTACCTCAGAGCCTGCGGGCACTGGACCTGCACCATCCCCCTGTCCTTGTCTTGGAAGAAACTCTCCAGGTCCTCCTCATCTTCAGAGAGGTTTTCATCACTCTCTGGGTCAGACTGAAAGAGAGACTCCAACAGACACCATCTCCCTTTCTGCTTCAGTTCCTGTAAGTTCTGGTAAATGCTCCCAGTTGAGTCAGAAGTAGAATCTATCTCCTCCTCTGGGCTGAGGAACTCGTCAAGTTTGCTGGCCCTGGGCAAAACCAGCCCATCCCCGGACAGCTCCTCTCCTGCCTCTGTGTCTGCGAAGGACTCGGGGGGAAATATCTAAAATAGAATAGAAATAGGCTGTGGGTCAAACAATAATTTCAAAGGTATTCAAATCATAACTTAATTTCGCTTTGAATAAGCTTCTGTATATTAGGGACTGGGGAGAATTTGGGGTCTGCCAGATGCACTGGCTCACACCTGTAATCCCAACACTTTGGGAGGAATTTTTAAAAATAAGGTGTGTTTCTTGGTCTAAAGAAATTTCACAACTTGGTCTATGAAGTGCGCTTGGTTGAAGGGATGGAGAGGGAAGTGAAGAGCTGAAGTTGGTTCCCTATGCCATACAGTGCAGTAAGCTTTTACAGAGTACCTCACCTACACCAGGCTTTCTGACCCCTGCACTCCAGGAATCCTGCCCATGATGATGGCCACACTCTCCCTTACTTGGGTTTTAACCTACTTCTTGCTCATCTTCCTTCTCTCCCTTCCCTTATTTCTACTCCTCTGCTTTCCTCATGTTCTAGCTAATTTGCACTCTGTCAAGGAATGGATGATGGCTGGGTGCAGTGGCTCATGCCTGTAATCCCAGCATTTTGGGAGGCCGAGGGAGGTGGATCACCTGAGGTCAGGAGTTCAAGACCAGCTTGACCAACATGGTGAAATCCCGTCTCTACAAAAATACAAAAATTAGTTGGGCGTGGTGGCGGGTGCCTGTAATCTCAGCTACTGGGGAGGCTGAGGCAGGAGAATCGCTTGAACCCGGGAGGCGGAGGTGGCAGTGAGATGAGATTGCGCCACTGCACTCCAGCCTGGGCAACAAGAGTGATGCTCCGTCTCAAAAAAAAAAAAAAAAAAAGGAATGGATGATTAACAAGACAGACAGTATGGTCTGGCTGGAAGAGCAATGTCTTAAGAAGTGGGACACACAATTAACTTTTTCAGTACTCCATTCATTCATAAAATATTTACTGGGTGCCTGATGTGCACTGGGCATTTGGCTGAGAACAAGACAAACAAGGTCCTTACTCTCATGAAGCTTACACTGTAGTAAGAGGAGACAGACAATATAAGATGATGATAAATTCTGTGAAAACCATAAACAACTGTGAGGTTATAAAAAGATGGAGTGCCTATGGAAAGCTTTTTGGTTGATAAAGTCCATCAGATTAAGGTTATTAGGAATGTACTTGTAATCAGTACATCAGTTAGGCTTATTAACTTGCTGCAGGACACTACGGAAAACCACAGGGAACTTAGGGTTGAGGGTGTGATTTTTATAGGGTTGGCTTCCCTGATTGATTCAGGGAACCAGGTATCAACTCTGGAATGGTGCTGTCATGAAGTGGGGACAATTTAGTTAAGCGAATGACTGAGCAATTTTTTTTTTTTGAGACAGGTTCTTGCTCTGTCACCCAGGTTCTGGAGTGCAGTGGTGCAATCATGCCTCACTGCAGCCTGAACCTCCTGAGCTCAGGTGATGATCCTCCCACCTCAGCCTCCCGAGTAGCTGGGACTACAGCACACACCATCACACCTGGCTAGTTTTTGTATTTTTTGTACAGATGGGGTTTCACCATGCTTCCCAGGCTGGTCTCCAACTCCTGAGCTCAAATGATCCGCCTGCCTTGGCCTCCCAAAGTGCTGGGATTACAGGCGTGAGCCATTGGGCCCCGCCCAACGGCAATACTTATTCAAAAGGTGAGAAGAATAAAGTAGGGTGGGTAAGTAATTGATCAGTAAGCCTTTTGGAAGAAGGGGTGTTAGTAATTTTGCACCTATGTTATGGCCCTGAGAGAAACACTGTTTCCTGATGCTCTTGCCGTTGGCATTATCTATGCCTATGACAGTCTGAGTTATACTTTCTCAGTCCTGGGCTGATTTTTATTTTTCATTGTGGAGGAATTTTGAATTGACACTTGATTGATGAGGAGCCAGGCTTACTAAAATCCAGGGTAAGAGTCAGAGATATGTATGCACCCTAGCCCTGGCTCTGCTACAGTGTGTGATCTTGGGCACGTTTTTTCTTTTCTTTTAAAGACAACTTTATTAAGACATAATTTCTATACAATATATTCACTCATTTAAAGTGTACAATTCAGTGGTTTTAGTATATACACAGAGTTGTGCAACTACCATCACAATTTTAGAACACCTTCATCGCCCTTAAAAGAAATGCCACACGCTTTAGTGGTCACTCCCTATTTCCCCTAACCCTCCACACCCCACCCCACCAGCCCTAAGCAACTGCCAATCTACTTTTTGCCTTTAATAGTTTGGGGTCCACCAGGTGCACTGGCTCACGCCTGTAATCCCAGCACTTTGGGAGGCCTTGGCTGGTGGATCACTGGAGGCACGCGCCACCACACCTGGCTAATTTTTTTTTTTTTTTGAGACGGAGTCTCGCTCTGTCGCCAGGCTAGAGTGCAGTGGTGCAATCTTGGCTCACTGCAACCTCCACCTCCCGGGTTCAAGTGATTCTCCTGCCTCAGCCTCCCGAGTAGCTAGGACTACAGGCGCGCACCACCATGCCCAGATAATTTTTTGTATTTTTTTGTTTGTTTGTTTTTGTTTTTGAGAGAGTTTTGCTCTTGTTGCCCAGGCTGGAGTGCAATGGCACAATCTCGGCTCACTGCAACCTCCACCTCCCAGGTTCAAGCAATTCTCTTGCCTCAGCCTCCCGAGTAGCTGGGATTACAGGCATGTGCCACCACGTCCAGCTAATTTTGTATTTTTTTTAGTAGAGACAGGGTTTCTCCATGTTGGTCAGGCTGGTCTTGAACTCCTGACCTCAGGTCCCAAAGTGCTGCATTACAGGAGTAAGCCACCGCACCCGGCCAATTTTTGTATTTTTAGTAGAGACGGGGTTTTGCCATGGAAACCAGCCTGGTCTCGATCTCTTGACCTCATGATCCGCTTTCCTTGGCCTCCCAAAGTGCTGGGATTACAGGCGTGAGCCAGCGCGCCTGGCCAATTTTTTTTTTTTTTTTAAATTTTTAGACGGAGTTTCACCATGTTGGCCAGGCTGGTCTCGAACTCCTGACCTCAGGTGATCCACCCGCCTCGGCCTCCCAAAGTGCTAGGATTACAGGCGTGAACCACCACGCCCGGCCAAATTTGGGGAGCAATTTTCTTAATCTCTTTGTGCCTCAGTTTTCTCTTCTACAAAAATGAGACGACAATTGTACTACTGGTCATAGAGTACTAAGAGGATAAGCGAAAACTGAGTGACATTGCCTATCAAGAGCCTCGTATAAAGTCCGAGAGGTTCAGGTCTGTAAGTCAGAGTCCGCCTCCTGGTCCCTAAACGCTCATTTTAATCCCACGCCCCTCCGTGACACGCCCCTGCTGTCTGTCTCCAAGGCAACGCCCAACAGTTTCCTCTCCGGGATTCCTTTCCCGGGGGCAGTCTCTTTTCTCTCCTCACCTGACGGCTCCCCTCCGCGCCTCCGGGGGCTCCCTCAGGCCTCCCCACGGTCATTTCAGCTGGACAGAGGCAGCAGCGACAGTGACAGCGATAGTGGCAGCAGCGGTGGCAGCGAGAGCTATGCGGGGCCAGGGTCCACCCCTTTCTAGCTTTGGCGTCTGGTTGGCTTCCAGGGCAGCCTCCGATCCATCCCGCCCGAGGAGGCAAGGTTCGTTTTCCGATTGGCCTATTTTCTCCGCGCATTTTATTTCCGGTTCTGAGGACGCCGCGGAAGCGGGACGGGATTGGAGTGCTCTGCTCCGGACGCACTACGTAGGTGGGCCTGCGGGAGTTCTGAGTGCGACGGCGCAGGTCTGCACCATGGCGGCCCGGCTTGTCAGCCGATGCGGGGCTGTGCGTGCAGCTCCCCACAGCGGCCCGCTGGTGTCCTGGCGCAGGTGGTCCGGCGCCTCAACAGACACCGTGTATGACGTGGTGGTGTCGGGTGGAGGCCTGGTGGGCGCTGCCATGGCCTGTGCCTTGGGTAAGCCCTTCTCCAGGCTACTAGTGGCCGGAAACCGGGCCGCGGAGGCACGATGAGAGCCGTGAGAGCCCTAGCACGACTTGCCCAAAGACAATTTCTCAGGTCTCGCGACGCTTCTCCCCTCCCCTCCTAGAGGAACCCCAGGGCACGCCGGAATGCGTGTGGTCCTTCAGGGTCCATTAGGGTCAAAAGTGGGAGGGGCGTTCAGAGTCTGTTCTACTCATGGGAAAACAGGCCTTCCCGGGGTTATTTATAAATGAGAGTTCCAGTTTCTCCAGATCCTGGACAGTACTTGTCATTGTCTTTTTGTTTATAGACATTCTAGTGGGTGTAAGTAAAGTGGGATCTCCAGGTTTTGACTTGTATTTCCCTAATGATTAATGATGTTGAATATCCTTTCATATGTTTATTGGTCATTTGTATATCTTCTTTAGAGAAATGCCTATTCAGACCCTTTGCCCGGTTTTTAATTGAGCAGTTTGTCTCTTGAATACTGTGGTAAGAGTTATTTTTATTTTTTGAGACAGGGTCTTCCGCTGTGCCCAGGCTGCAGTGCAGTGGCACGATCACGGCTCACTGTAGCCTCAACCTCCCTGGCTGAATTGATCCTCCTGCCTCTGCCTCCCAAATAGCTGGGACTGCAGGAATGCGCCACCACTCGGCTGATTTTTGTATTTTTTTGTAGAGACGAGGTCTCACTATGTTGCCCAGGCTGGTCTGGAACTTCTGGGCTCAAGCAATCCACCTGCCTCAGCCTCCCAAAGTGCTGGGATTACCGGCATAAGCAACCCTGCCTGGCCATTATTTTGTTTATTCTGTATAAGTCCCTTATCTGATAAATGACTTGCAAATATTTTCTTCCATTTTGTAGTCTTTTCACTTTTTTTTTTTTCCCTGAGATGGAGTTTCGCTCTTGTTGCCCAGGATGGAGTACAATGGCACGATCTCAGCTCACTGCAACCTCTGGGATTACAGGCTTGTGCCACCATGCCTGGCTAATTTTTGTATTTTTAGTAGAGACGGGGTTTCACCATATTGGCCAGGCTGGTCTCGAACTCCTGATCTCGTGATCCACCTGCCCCTTCCTCCCAAAGTGCTGGGATTACAGGCATGAATCACCATGCTTGGCCCATTATGAGATTTTTTTTTTGTGATTTTTTTTTTTTTTTTAGCTCATCAGCTATCATTAATATTAGTGTTTTTTTATATGTGACCCAAGACAATTCTTCCACTGTGGCCTGGGGAAGCCAAAAGATTGGACACCCTGATCTAAGGGCAGCTGTTCCACCCTATGATCCTCATCTCACAAGATACACAAAATTTAACTTAAAGCAGATCATAGACTTCTGTAACAGGGTGGTTCTCATGGCTGCTTGGGAGGCTGAGGCAGGAGAATCGCTTGAAACTGGAAGGGGGAGGTTGCAGTGAGCTGAGATCGCGCCACTGCACTCCAGCCTGGGCAACAAGAGCGAAACTCGATATCTCAAAAAAAAAAAAAAAAAAAAAAGAAGATAGTGCCCTTTACAGAGCATGCTCTACAGAGCATGTCCCTGTGCCCCATCCTCCACAGCAAAAGCTGCCAAGATGGACCGCTCACTGTCTGTATGGCTGGAGCTAACTTTTTTTTTTTTTTTTTTTTTTTTTGAGACAGAGTCTCTGCTCTGTCACCCAGGCTGGAGTGCAGTGGCAGGATCCCAGCTCACTGCAACCTCTGCCTCCCAGGTTCCAGTGATTCTCCTGCCTCAGCCTTCTGAGGAGCTGGGACCACAGGCGCCCGCCATCACACCTGGCTAATTTTTGTGTTTTTAGTAGAGATGGGGTTTCACCATGTTGCCCACGCTGGTCTTGAACTCCTGAGCTCAACTGATCCATCACCTCAGTCTCCCAAAGTGCTGGGATTATAGGTGTGACCCACTGTGCCTGACCTTTCTTTCTTTTCTTTTCTTTTTTGTAGTTTTTGAGACAGGGTTTTGCTCTGTCCCCCAGGTAGGACTGCAGTTGCACAAACATAGCTCAGGTGTGCCACCATGCCTGGCTAGTTAAAAAAAATTTTTTTTTGTAGAGACAGGGTCTCGCCATGTTGCCCAGGCTGGTCTTGAATTCCTAGGCTTGAGCAATCCTCCCACCTCGGCCTCCCAAAATGCTGAGATTACAGGCGTTAGCCACCATGCCTGGCTCACGTTTTCTTTTATAAACTCTAATTCTTTCTTTTTGAGACAGAATTTTGCTCTTGTTGCCCTGGCTGGAGTGCAGTGGTGCAATCTCCTCCTCCCAGGATCAAGCGATTCTCCTGCCTCAGCCTCCCAAGTAGCTGGGATTACAGGTGCCCGCCATCACACCTGGCTAATTTTTTTGTATTTTTAGTAGAGACGGGTTTCACCATGTTGGCTAGGCTGGTCTTGAACTCCTGACCTCAGGTGATCTGTCCACCTCGGCCTTCAAAGTGCTGGGATTACAGGTGTGAGCCACCGCACCGGCCTTTATAAACTCTAATTCTTTATTCTTGGTTTAATCTTGAGACTGCATTGAATTTTGCTTGTTTATTCCACTTTTTCTTTTGAACAGGAGTTGTAATTTTTAGTGACTTAATACTCTGGAGATTGAAAAGAACTGGTGTTTAAATACTGTAGTCTAACTTTTTTACTTCATTTTTCCTTTCTAGGGCATTCTGTTTGCTAGTTAGGTGTTTGCCATTATTTGCTTCTTGGCACGTGGCATGTAGTGGTCTTTGGAGAAGTCTTACAGTTGTGGGCAGGGTGGTTCTCATAGCTAAAATGGTGGTATATGTTATTGCTTAGGACTCTGCATGGGTATAGTGTTTATGTTCTCTGTAAGAAATTCATATTCTAAGGGTTAAGTGGTTACTCTGTTGTTTCTCTTGGTAATGGGAAAGGAAATTCTTGATTTTCCTAAGATGATATAAATTTTCTTTTTTTAAGGATATGATATTCACTTTCATGACAAGAAAATCCTGTTGCTCGAAGCAGGTCCAAAGAAAGTACTGGAGAAATTGTCAGAAACTTACAGCAACAGGGTCAGCTCCATTTCCCCTGGCTCTGCAACGCTTCTCAGTAGTGAGTAGAAGATCCTCCTTCAAAGATCCAATCTCCTTTCCCACTTAGCTTTCTAGTGTATCCCATGGGGCAGAGTCATCAGAGCATCTGACAAGGAGGGAGCTCACTGAGGTGGGTGGAGAGAGGGGGTGGGATTGGTAGTCTAGGGCAGAGTTGAAGATGTGGACCCCTGCAGTTGCTACTGCCTCAACTCCCTGTCTGAGGAATGCATCCTTGAGGCATGTGGGTCCATCATGTTGACTTCACTTGTGATGTTGTGTCATTATGAATTGGTGGAACTGAAATCATATGAACTAATCATGAACATTCACTTTGAATAGCAGGGCTCTCTTCATCCTGAGTCAAGCCTTCTAGCAAGCTAGGGAGCTTACACGTGAAATTCCCTTGGGGTGCAGATGAATAATGTGTGCACATGGAACCAGTTAGCAAATTGTCATTAGGTCTGCTAGATGTTTCCCTCAGACCATCCTGTCTGAA
Source organism: Homo sapiens (assembly GCF_000001405.40). NCBI lineage: Eukaryota > Metazoa > Chordata > Mammalia > Primates > Hominidae > Homo > Homo sapiens. Next base: position 73,954,047 of record NC_000014.9, read on the forward strand.
ACCACCCCATCTCAAATTGAACTCTTCCATCACTTTCTAGCCCCTTTCCCTGCTCTATTTTTCTTCATAATGCTTACTACTACCTGGCATTATATTATGTGTTTGTTTTTTATTGTCCATCTCTCCAATTAGAATGTTAACTGCAGAAGGCCAAGGACTTTGTCCATTGGTTTCCCACTTTACTGTATTTGGCACATAGTCGGTGCTCAGTAAATATTTCCTCAATGAATAAATCTGTTCAGTGCTATGAAGAGCTAAAAAATAGAACATAGGCCAGGCACAGTCATGTGTACCTATAGTCCTGGCCACTTGGAAGGCTGAGATGGGAGGATTGCTTGAGCCCAGGAGTTTAAGTCTAGCCTGGGCAACATACCAAGACCTTGTATCTTGAAAAAGAAAAAACAAATGGTTTCAAGTTACTAGAAATCCTTTGTAAAAATAATTTTTTAAAAATTGTCTTTACGAGGTTTATAACTTCAGCAGGATGATGAAGAAAAAGAACAATATGGATTTGGGGCCGGGTGCGGTGGCTCACGCCTGTAATCTCAGCACTTTGGGAGGCTGAGGCAGGCGGATCACAGGGTCAGGCGATCGAGATCATCCTGGCTAACACGGTGAAACCCTGTCTCTACTAAAAATACAAAAAAATGAGCCGGGCATGGCGGCGGATGCCTGTAGTCCCAGCTGCTGGGGAGGCTGAGACAGGAGAATAGGGTGAACCCGGGAGGCGGAGCTTGCAGTGAGCCGAGATCCCGCCACTGCACTCCAGCCTGGGCTACAGAGCGAGATTCCGTCTCAAAAAAAAAAAAAAAAAAATACATGGATTTGGTTTTCGTTTTTAATTTCCCCTACTTTATGTGATTTGACCTTTTGATCATGGAAGCTGAGTCTTTTTTTTTTTTATTTTATTTTTTTTTTTTTTTGAGACGGAGTCTCGCTCTGTTGCCCAGGCTGGAGTGCAGTGGCACGATCTCGGCTCACTGCAAGCTCCGCCTCCCGGGTTCAGGCCATTCTCCTGCCTCAGCCTCTCCAAGTAGCTGGGACTACAGGCGCCCGCCACCACGCCCAGCTGATTTTTTGTATTTTTTAGTGAAGATGAGGTTTCACGGTGTTAGCCAGGATGGTCTCTATCTCCTGATCTCGTGATCCGCCCGCCTCAGTCTCCCAAAGTGCTGGGATTACAGGCATGAGCCACCGCGCCCGGCAGAAGCTGGGTCTTTTTTCATGCTATACAACCTGGAACTGGGGAACAGAGTAGCTTAGGTACTAACATCAAACAAGATAGAAGTGGAGAGTATTATTGAAGAACACTGAAAACAACCTCTTACGTAACAGGATGGAGGGACAAGGGGGAGCCCAGGTCCTTGTGAAGTCACTCTGGTCTATAGATCCTTTCTTTTGTAGGTTTTGGTGCCTGGGACCATATCTGCAACATGAGATACAGAGCCTTTCGGCGAATGCAGGTGCCCCTTTATCTTTTCAATTTTGTCAAGATGTCTTGGTCTGTCTTAAGATATCGGAGTCCACTTTCTCCAAGTGTTCTGTGAATGTAGGAGGAATCAGACAAGGTTCACATTCAGTCCGAGGAAGTGGGGAGAAGCATTCCCAGGAGAATTTTCTTCTCATTTTATATTTTCCTACCAGAGAGGCTGACAAATTGTGATTTTCTGCTCTGTCACTTGGGAAAGCAATATTGTTTCTGATTGGAGTGATGTTTCCCTCTTGGTTTTAATGCAGACTTTCCTTTTGTGTTTCCAGGTGTGGGACGCCTGCTCAGAGGCCCTGATAATGTTTGATAAGGATAATTTAGATGACATGGGCTATATCGTGGAGAATGATGTCATCATGCATGCTCTCACTAAGCAGTTGGAGGCTGTGTCTGGTGAGGCCCCCATCTTCCACCTTGCATTCATTGGGAAGTGAACTGCTTAGGACTTACTGGAAGAAAGGATCTCTTTTACAATATTCAGTGTCCACCATAAAGAAATCCTCTGATGGCCGGGTGCGGTGGCTCACGCCTGTAATCCCAGCACTTTTGGAGGCTAAGGCGGGCGGATCACGAGGTCAGGAGATGGAGACCATCCTGGCTAACATGGTGAAACCCTGTCTCTACTAAAAATACAAAGAAACAATTAGCCAGGCATGGTGGCGGGCGCCTATAGACCCAGCTACTTGGGAGGCTGAGGCAGGAGAATGGCGTGAACCCAGGAGGTGGAGCTTGCAGTGAGCCGAGATCACGCCACTGCACTCCAGCCTGGGCGACAGAGCAAGACTCCGTCTCAAAAAAAAAAAAAAAATTCCTCTGATGATTATTTCACGGTGCTGGATACTTAGAAGTGGAATTGCTGGGTCATATAATAATTCTATGTTTAATATTTTCAGAAGCTGCCAAACTTTTCTGAAGAGGCTATACAATTTCACTTTCCCACCAGTCTATAAGGGTTCCAGTTTCTCCACATCCTCACCAACGCTTATTTTCCTTCTGTAAAAAAAAACTGTAGCCATCCTGTTGAGAGTGAAGTTGTATCTCATTGTAGTAGTGGTTGCATTTCCTTAATAACTAATGATGCTGAGTATCTTTTCATGTCCTTACTGGCCATTTGTGTATCCACTTTGGAGAAATGTCTGTTCAAAATATTTTGCCTGTTTTTAAATTGGATTATTTGTTTTTGAGTTATAGGAGTTCTTTATATATTTTAAATATAAATTTATCAGTTATGCGGCTTGCAAATATCTTAATGTTCTAGAGAGAGAAAAATTGGAAGTAACTTAAATGCTTTTTGATATTGGATAGTAGTTCATGCAGTGAACCATGATGTAGCTTTTAAAGATAATTTGAATCTAAAATTTAATAACTTATAAATTTGTTCCATAATATATTGGGTCATATGATCACACTTGTGTGTGCATGTACATGCATAGGAAATTGTCTGGAAAGTCATACACCAAAGCTGTAATTGCAGTTGTCTCTGAGTAGTTTAAGGGTGATTTTTCTCCACTTGAACCTTTCTTTGTTGTCCAGACTTCTACAGCGAGCTTATTATTATTATTATTATTTTTTTTTTTTTGGAGATGGAGTCTCGCTCTGTCGCCCAGGCTGGAGTGCAGTGGCACAGTCTCGGCTCACTGCAAGCTCGGCCTCCCAGGTTCACACCATTCTCCTGCCTCAGCCTCTGGAGTAGCTGGGACTATAGGCGCCTGCCACCGTGCCCAGCTAATTATTTGTATTTTTAGTAGAGATGGGGTTTCACCGTGGTCTCAATCTCCTGACCTCGTGATCCACCCACCTCGGCCTCCCAAAGTGCTGGGATTACAGGCGTAAGCCACTGTGCTGGCCCTCTATTATTTAAATCGCTTTGTTGACAGTATGACTGACTGACATACAAAAAGCTGTAAATGATGTATACAGGCTGATGTTTTTGGAGATAGTGTTTTGTTTTGTTTTGAGACAAGGTCTTGCTTTGTCCTCCTTGGCTGGGGTGCAGTGGCTTAACAATCCTCTCACCTCAGCCTCCTGACTAACTGGGACGACAGGTGCGCACCATCACGCCTGGTTAATTTTTTGTAAAGATGGGGTTTTACCATGTTGCTCAGGCTGGTCTTGAACTCCTGGGCTCAAGTGATCCTCCTGCCTCAGCCTCCCTAAGTTCTAGGATTACGAGCATGAGCCACCCGTGCCTGGCCATAGAGCGTATTGTTTTTATGACCAGAAAAATAAAATGATTTCCAGCTGGAAGAAAATCTTTTGTAGTCTAGGATTTGTTTCAGCCTATGGTATTCCCAGCCTGTCTACTGTAAAAGCAAACACGGGCTCATTTAAGCGTAGAGTGAAAATGGAGGCGCAGAAGCATGTGGACAGTAAGAAAGAGTGCCTCTGACAGAGTTCACTGAGAACTTCAATGTCTTTTTTTGACATTGAGTTATCTCTGTGGCTTCTGTCATTTATTAGCTCAGACCACAGCATTAATTACTGATTTTTTTAATCTTAAATGACAAGACACTGCTGTCCTGGGACCTTGCTTTAGGTTTAGTTATGGCTTTTTCCTCAGCCTATGTGGCCCACCTTTCTAATTTTTTTTCCTCTCTTTTGACCTCCCCAGACCGAGTGACGGTTCTCTACAGGAGCAAAGCCATTCGCTATACCTGGCCTTGTCCATTTCCTATGGCCGACTCCAGCCCTTGGGTTCATATTACCCTAGGTGATGGCAGCACCTTCCAGACCAAATTGTTGGTAGTTGAAGATTCTTATTTTGCTAGGGGTCTTGTATATCTACATCTTATCCTAGATTCTAGGGACTCTGGTTTTCGATTTAAGCTATAGTTTAATTTTAGGCAAAACTTTTGGTTATGAGGACCAGTACCTATTCAGGCCAGCTCAAGTGGAGATGGTCTCATCGTAAATCCTGTACAGGGAGCAATCTCATGGGCCGTCTTAGGTTGTGAAATAACAGATAGCTGGGCCTCACAGGACAGGCACCAGAGTGTTGGGAATGGAGGCTGTTCTTTCCCTCTGAGGAGTCTGTGGTCATTGATCTCTTGCCTCTCATTTTTCTCCTTTCTGCTCACAAGCTTCCCTTTTTGCATGGTAGCCATTCCTAACCCTACATCAGAACTATTCAGCTCCAGTGTGTGCCCCATACTGAAACTTTCCTTATTGCTCTCTAGTTCAAATATCAGGAGGGCCTGGCTGAGTTTAACTCATGGCTGGCACCTGTTCAGTCATGTCCAGCTTTGGCTCTGTTGGCTGAGGCTGATGTGACAGTGCAGGGGCTCCACCTCTAGGGGCTGTGAGTGAAGCAGGCCTGATGGAATTATCCTGCCACACAACAATCAGAGCTGGAGGAAACTTTAGGGAGCAGAGAAAAACTTCTGAAGCAGTTTATGAAGAGGCTGGAAGACTTAGCAGGCTCATGTGTCCATGCAGATAGGTGCAGATGGTCACAACTCCGGAGTACGGCAGGCTGTTGGAATCCAGAATGTGAGCTGGAACTATGACCAGTCTGCTGTTGTGGCTACTCTGCATTTATCAGAGGTAAGATCCTGAGCTGCCATCTGGGGACTTTATTCATAGGCACTAGGTACTTCACAGAGAAACTTTTCTCCTCTCTGTTGCAGGCCACAGAAAACAACGTAGCCTGGCAGAGATTTCTTCCCTCTGGGCCTATTGCTCTGCTCCCGGTAAGAGGTCCTTCTGACCAGTCCGCCCACATGCATGCAAGCCTTTCCTCTTCACTTTCTCTCAGCCTTTTTCTGGTTTCAAGGGAATCTGCCCAGGCTGTTTGTAAGTTCCCTTTTTGTCTTTTTATGCTTGAGAGTTTCCAAGTGCAGCAGAGTCTTAGCCGTTGGTATTGGTGTTCTTTTGACACAGCTCTCAGACACCTTGAGTTCCTTGGTTTGGTCCACGTCCCATGAACATGCAGCAGAGCTAGTTAGCATGGATGAGGAAAAATTTGTGGATGCCGTTAACTCTGCCTTTGTGAGTATCAATTTACCCAGCTGATGATGTGCTGCAGGGGGAGATACAGAAAGGTGTTGTTTTTTTTTTTTTGAAACGGATCCTTGCCAGGCTGGAGCGCAGTGGCGCGATCTTGGCTCACTGTGCAATCTCCGCCTCCCGGGTTCAAGCGATTCTCCTGCCTCAGCCTCCTAAGTAGCTGGGACTACAGGCACGTGCCACCATGCCCAGCTAATTTTTCTATTTTTAGTAGAGATGAGGTTTCACCATGTTGGCCAGGCTGGTCTCAAACTCCTGACCTCAAGTGATCTGCCTGCCTTGGCCTCCCAAAGTGCTGGGATTACAGGCGTGAGCCACTGCACCCAGCCAGAAAGGTGGTTTTGAGTCAGGAAAAAGGAGTAACCAGTCAGCTGTCCCTTTCTACTTTGTAACTATAATGCTTGGTCTAGATTATGTGGAGGAGTGTACACACGGAAATGCAAAACAATAGAAATAATAAATAATAACCTTTTGAGGGTTGTGGGCTGCTGTTAGGCTGACTGAAACAGCTGCCTGGGTGGTGGTTAGCATTGGCCTTTTTTTGAAGCTGTAACACTTGGATTATTTTGAACAGTTCTGCTAGGTTGCAGCTACCTGAACCTTTCAAGCCTGATTCATTGAAAGTATTCCTAGGGAAAGGCCGAGCGAATTTCAGCATGGGGCTTAAGAGTAAGCTTAGTAGATAGATGTGGGTTCAAAATGTAAATAGTATCACTAACTGCTCAGGATTGAATAAAGACTTTCAAAATGAGAGAACTTTTGTAAAATCCATGGAACATCTTTAGTACATTGTAGGTGCTCAACAAATACTAATAATTCTGGAGTAGACACAGCCTTTGGATAATATGGGTACCAGTATTACTTTTGGAGCCTAAATGACACTCAAAGCCTGCTACCTTCACACCAAAGACTCCACTGCTCTGTAGTAGCAACAAGAATAAAGGGAACTGAACATACTGAAATGGATTCCGAGATAAATGGTGAACACTACCCTACTCTGGGCCATTTAGTATATATTCCTGGCACAGGTCTAGGTCCTCTGCAGTGCAGTCATTCACCATTAATTGTCCTTTCTATGTAGCAGGCTCTGGAGATACTGAGAACAGTCTCCGCTTTCAGGAAGTTCATAGTCAAGTAAGGAAGACCGTAAATGACAATCTCCGTACAGTGATAGAAGTATGCATAGGATGCTGTGGAAGCATACAGGGGGGAAACACAGAGAAAGACTGGAGGAGTTAAAAAGAGGCGACGTCTTCTGGATGCTCTGAGATGTTATCCTAATGAAATAGAGACGGGCATTCTAAGCAGAGGAGAGTCATGGAGGTAGAAGGATACTGTGTGATGAGCTATACTGTGGCTGGTGCGTGGTTATTGAGGGTGGGGACTAGTGAAAGGTGAAGCTCAGAAGTAGGCAGGGGCCAGCTCATGTACAGTTTGGCTAGATCTTAAAACCTCTGGGGAGTGATGAGAAGTTGCTTTGCACTTGAGGGGCTTATCACTTGTCAAGATCAGTGTAGGCAAGTTGGGTAGCATTAGCCTAAGCTTTGGTTACAAACAAGGTTTCTTTATTGAATTTTTAATTCCCTGCTACTCACATTTCACCTTGTTTGTCTTGTGGCTGATGCTGCTCAGTGGAGTGATGCTGACCACACGGACTTCATCGACACAGCTGGTGCCATGCTGCAGTATGCTGTCAGCCTTCTGAAGCCCACTAAGGTCTCGGCTCGCCAGCTGCCCCCAAGCGTAGCCAGGGTGGATGCCAAAAGCCGAGTTCTGTTTCCTCTTGGGTTGGGACATGCTGCTGAGTACGTCAGGCCTCGGGTGGCGCTCATTGGGTAAGACGATAACAGAGCAGGGCCACTCCCTTCTCACTTTGCTGCCAGAGGTCACACCTGAACTCTGCTTTATTCTTAGGGATGCAGCCCACAGAGTCCATCCGCTTGCAGGACAGGGTGTCAACATGGGCTTTGGGGATATCTCCAGCTTGGCCCATCACCTCAGTACGGCAGCCTTCAATGGGAAGGACTTAGGTAAGGATTCAGATACTATGGGGAAGTATCCAGAGGTCATATAGTTAGGCAAGATCAGGGCCCACAGTAGCAAGAGGGAGTGGACATAAAATATATCTGGCTTGCTAGGAGATGGAAGAAAACCTTATTATTGGATTAGGGATTTAATCTTTCCTCTGCCCTTCAGGTTCCGTGAGCCACCTCACAGGTTATGAAACAGAAAGACAGCGTCACAACACTGCTCTTCTGGCTGCTACAGACTTACTAAAAAGGCTCTATTCTACCAGTGCCTCCCCGCTTGTGTTGCTCAGGACGTGGGGCTTGCAGGCCACAAATGCAGTGTCTCCACTCAAAGTAAGAGGTTGCTCAGAGGAATGACTTTGCAAACAGCTCTTAATTTCTTTTGCTTTTTTTTGAAACAGAGTCTTGGTCTTATCGCCCAGGATGGAGTGCAGTGGCACAATTTCCACTCACTGCAGCCTCTGCCTCCCAGGTTCAAGTGATTATCCTGCCTCAGCCTCCCAAGTAGCTGGGATTACAGGCGCCCACCACCACACCCGGCTAATTTTCTTATTTTTAGTAGAGATGGGGTTTCACCATGTTGGCCAAGCTGGTCTTGAACTCCTGACCTCGTGATCTGCCTGCCTCGGCCTCCCAAAGTGCTGGGATTACAGGCGTGAGCCACTGCGGCTGGCCCACAGCTCTTAATTTCTTTGAATTAATTTTCTTGGCTGTAAAATTATTATCTTTATGTGTTTGCCTTCCCAAGGGTTACAAGCAGAAGAGTACTTGCTAGGCTTTTAGGTGTTACGGCCCACATCTAAGCAATAACTATGTATAAAAAGGGCTTAAAAATAGTGAATAGGGAGTGTGGTGGCACATGCCTGTAGTCCTAGCTATTCAGGAGACTGAGGCAAGAGGATAATTTAAGCCTAGGAGTTTGAGGCTGCAGTGGGCTATGATCACATCATTGTTACTCAGACTGGGTGACAGAGTTAAGACCAGTCTCTTGAAAAAAAAAAATGAATAGGGATTTCTAATGATGAAGATGTTTAAGCTCCTTTTGCTGCTTGACTAGTTTCATCCCTGAGAACTTCCATTTAAAGATATGTTTTTTCTGATGGGTGCAGTGGCTCACACCTGTAATCCCAGCACTTTATAGGAGGCTGGGGAGGGAGGATTGCTTGAGCCTAGGAGTTTGAGGCTGCAGTGAGCTATGATCACACCACTGCACTCCAGCCCAGTCAACAGAGTGAGACCCTGTCTCTAAAACGTGTGTATATGTATGTATATTTTTCTTTTTTTAGCTGAAATAAAACAAGGACACTTGGGAAGAATACCTACGTGATTATTATCTACAATAATTATTTTCTTCACCTTACTGTGTTAAGAGTTTCATTCACTTTTATTTTTTCTCCAGGAACAGATTATGGCCTTTGCAAGCAAATGAGTACTCCTCTCCTAAAGAAAGATTACGTTGATGAAAAAGAACATCCTGCCCAGGACCCATCATACATATTTTCAAGATCTTATTTAATTTAATAAACTTACTTTACATTAAAATTCTCTTTTTCTTCTTTGCTTAATGGGCCTGTGGCACCCAAATAATGAATGATAATTTGCTGTGAGGAGCGTATATTAGCCAGACCAAAGGAAAAAACTTCGAAGGAAGACTTACAATTTGGTTGAAAAGAGCTTTTTATTACTAAAAAACCCACAAGGTGCTGTCTCACTCATTTCCAGTTAATCATTTCTAAAGAGAAAATTTACATTTTGTTTTTGTTTTAATGTTGGTCATAAATTTATACAGTTGTTTTTTGATAGAGGTAAGAATTAGACTCGATGCATTTTTGTTAGAATTGCTGTTTAAATGTTAACATCAGAATGCAAATTAAATATAAATTGCTTTAACCTTTGTTACAGGTATACTGGACTTTCTGAAAGGAAAACCAGGTCTCATTAATGCTAGTTATTACTTTATCACAGCACCAGATTTCCATTTTATTTATGGTTCCTCTCTGGGACACCACTGTCGGTTTAATAAAACAATAAATAATTCATTGCACAGATCCGAAGACCTCAGGAACCAGATCACAAGGGAAACCGATTAGCAGCAGAATTTGTTCATGTTTGGTGGCAGACTGGTGGCCAACTGGAGGGAGGGGAGTTTTACTGTGGGTTTTTGAAGAGGTCTCGTCACAAGACCAGAGATGCCTCTTGAAGAGATTTTTAGGTTGTAGGTTTGCTTACTCTAAAGAACATCTTGCCCAGAAGTCTGATTTGAGATGAAATGAAGAGAAACAGTCTGCTTTTGAACCAAGTAAGGTATTCTTGGGAATAATTTTTAGAGCCATGAGAAATCTATTCTTACAGGGGTGCTTTTCAGGCAAATGCAGAAAATTTAAAAGAGTCTAGAACAAAAAAGTGACAATGTCACAACCTTGCTGGAATCTCAGGAAAAAGAATTAAAGATGGCAGCTGCTGTGAAAAGCTGTGTGACTCCTGGCGGAGACTGCAGGGACAAGGTCATCTTTCACAAAAAATGGAAAGGTGGCCTAGATGAGGAGGACACAGACTCTCCAGAAGTTATGCAAACAAAATCAGGCAAGATGAAGAATTTTAAGGCACACCTCCATTGGCCCACAGAGAGTGTTCTTCATATGACAATGATGTTAAACACCATCTGTCACGTACCAGGCCATGTCCTAAGTATTTTAAATATGTTAACACATCTACAAAGAGGAAACTATTAGAATCTGTAGGACCTCTTAAGCCCAAAGGGTCTACTGCAGGCAGGATGGGCGTTACAGAAAAAAATAAAAACTCTCATTCCAAATTGCTCCTAAGATGGACAAATTGGTTACTTCTCCAGAAGGTCTAATCAAGGTTAACAAAATAGGTAAGTTCGTGGAGTTAGAATGCATCTTCCCTGGAGTTCAGAGGTATTTGGGATGACCAAAGGAGTCTGCTGGACAGTATGTGTGTTTTACAAAATGGCCCCCACAGTGATTAAAGACCAGAGACTTATATCTCTGCATTTGTCAAGCTGGAACAGTCTTTAGTGAACACAGCTTACCTCTTTTAAAACTGCTGGTTTCTACTGAAGGAAACATGGATGACATTTAGTGTTCTGTGACTGGTCTGGCACCCTACTTTTGTTGACAAAGATGGGAAGGGGTCTAAAAGTCATGTCACTTATAAAAGAACTTGGGAGGAACTTTTTTCAAAAGATCCAAAGATTTTGGAAGGAGAGATTAGAGCAGAACTAAGACCACTTAGAAGATAGGTAGATTTCAGCTCAATATAAGGAATTTTTTTTAATATCAGTGCAGTTCCAAATGGAATAAGCTGTTTGAACATGGCTTAGCAGAAGCTGAATGACAACCTGTTAGAAATTCTAGGGAATTCTGCACTGAGTACAACATTGGATTATTTCTTTGGGCTGTTTCCAACTCAAGATTCTGTTATTTCATTATAAGCATTTTGAGGAAGGCAGTTGGTATAAAGGTGACCTTAGTAATAAAAGTCAGTGTGAAGTCTAAAGAAATTCCACAATGAATTTAAAGACAAGAATTTTAGGGACAAGGATACAGAAATTTGCCTAGTAACTTGCACACAGCAGATGGTAAATATTTATTGACTCAATGGAGTAATGTTAAAAATAAGGTTTCCCATGGACTGTGTGAGGGCCAGGCATACTTAACATCCTTTGTGAGAGAGAGGATGGAAACGGAGTCTACTGTGAAAGCCACAAGTTTTGGGGAAATACACTCCTGCAAAGAAGCTGGAGGTTAACAACCAAGGCAAAGGGGCCAGACCACAGGGAGATCTTCCAGGTCCAAGAGCACTGCAGGGCAGATGAGAAGCAGGGATGATTATGTTGAAAGTGCAAGATAAGGCCAGGCGCGGTGTCTCATGCCTGTAATCCCAGCACTTTGGGAAGCGGGTGGATCAATTGAGATCAGGAGTTGGAAACCAGCCTGGCCAACATGGTGAAACCCCATCTCTACTACAAATACAAAAATTAGCCAGGAATGGTGGTGGGCACCTGTAATCCCAGCTCTTCAGGAGGCTGAGAACAAGAATCGCTTGAACCTGGGGGCGGAGGTTGCAGTGAGCTGAGATTGCGCCACTCCACTCTAGCCTGAGCAACAGAGCAAGACTCCATCTCAAAAAAAAGTGCAAGATAATGAATTTGGGGTAAATAATTCACAGTCAAGAGCTCTGAGCACTTGGATTCAAAAAGAGAGCATGAGGGACATTAAATATGGTTCTCCCTGGAAATGTTGGTCCACTGTACTGATGTGGGCTGAGAGAGCCAACCAAATCCAAGTGGGGTTTTGTCAGGAACGGTATTGGAAACTCTGAACTAGATAAATAATTCAAAGGATATTAGCTAAAGTGATCAGGGACCAGGACAGGAAGGTACTGTTACAAACGGAGAGAATAAAAGGGCAAACTGAAATAATAGATCCTGGAATAGCACAGACACTGACCTCTGACCACAGACCAAAAGTTAGGGCCTAGTTGTATTTCTTAGAAATACAAAGAAAACAAGTTTAGAATCATAGAAAACACTGTTAACACATTAGCCTGGGAGGTGGTACTGGCACTGAATATACACATACCCATAAAGTCGGATATGTTCATTAATCCCAGAGTTGACTGATAAAATGCTGATTAAAGCAAAGGTAGGCTATATGAGGCAGCCACACCCTCCCAAAACATGTCCCCAGAGACCGGGTGGCCTTCTTTCTTAAGGCTGTAATTTATGCACAGTTAGGAGTTACTCTCTCATCCTATTAATATTTAGGATGGCTCTCAGCTGGCTGATTGGAGCTAACACAGAATAGGATCATACAGATTCTGACATGGTCCCATTTTGCGTTGTTGAATTATACATGGAAAGCAAAACCAGGTTTTTTTTTTTCTCTCTTTTTCAGGGGAGGTGGGTGCAGATAAGGGTGGGCAGGGCACTGTATAGGGAGGAAAAAAATACTGATATTGATGGGTCTTGGGATTGCAATAAGTCAGTTTACCATTTAAGAGGAAAATTTAAATATTCAGTGGAATGAGGCACTCAAAGGGTTGAAATGCGATTTTTCTTTGGTTTCCAGGGACCTGTCCCTGGGCTCTCACTCCAAGGTTAAGTTCCAAAACTATACTTTTTGGCTCACAGGGCTCTCTGTGATGCTCTGGTGCCAGCTGTGTACTCTTGAGTGGTTAGGCAGCAGTTCACATTAGATGTGTAAAATTAATTAAACCTAAATCTCTAGGCTCAAGTCCAGGATGTCCCCAGACTAGTTCAGAAACTAAGTGCTCTCTCCTCCCCTTAAAAAGGTGTTGGCAAATGCAGGTCTCCAAGGAAGTACGTGGCCTCAATGGGAGATGCCCAGAGACTGCAACAGGTGAAAGGTGGCCCCCAAGGCCCAGCCCGTCTCTATGTTGTTCACTTTCTTTGTGAGCTGTTGAGAAGAAAAAAAGTCTTCACCTTTTCATCCAGTTTCCAACTCTAGCAAGCACAGCTCTTGGGCAGAAAATATTGGCAAAGAATATCCACATGGGCAAACCAAGGCAAAACGGACAGAAGCCAGTCTTTGCAGGCTTCCCACTACTCTGTAACAATTTCCTTCCGGCCATGGCCCATTGGCCATTGCCCCTACACCCACCATTCTCATATCTGAACTGAATGCTTCTGGCCCAGGTTGTGGCCCATCAGGCCTTCTAGAGAGATAGTTTAGACAGACAGTATTCTGAACTTTCCCTAACGTTGAAACTACACAAAGTATCCCCTGCTTTATTTTCTGATTCACTAATTTCAGATAAGGCAACTTGTAATGATAATAGATGTGGCAGAAAGAGCATGGTCAGGAGGTGAGAATAGATCTAGGGGTAGGAAAGAACAAACCAAGCTTCTCAACTCCTACTATGTAAGCAAGTGCCTCTTCCTAAGCACTAATAATAACCAAACATGGGGCCAGGCGCAGTGGCTCATGCCTGTACTCCTGGCACTTTGGGAGGCCAAGGCAGGTGGATTGCTTGAGGCCAGGAGTTCAAGACCAGCCTGGGCAACATGGCAAAACCCCGTCTCTACAAAAAAATTAGACAAGAGTGGTGGCACACACCTGTAATCCCAGCTACTCAGAGGGCTGAGGTGGGAGGGTCACTTGAACCCGGGAGGCAGAGGTTGCAGTGAACTGAGATCATGCCACTGCACTCCAGCATGGGTGACAGAGCAAGACCCTGTCTCAAAAAAAAAAAAAAAAAAGAAAAAAAAAGAAACGAACAAAAAAGGCCAGGAGTGGTGGCTCATGCCTATAATTCTAGCACTTTGGGAGGCTGAGGCGGGTGGATCACCTGAGATCAGAAGTTTGAGAATAGCCTGGCCAACATGGTGAAACCCCGTGTCTACTAAAAATACAAAATTAGCCAGGCATGGTGGCGCATGCCTGTAATCCCAGCTACTTCGGAGGCTGAGGCAGGAGAATCAGTTGAACCCGGGAGGTGGAGGTTGCAGTGAGCTGAGATTGCACCATTGCACTCCAGCCTGGGCAACAAGAGCGAAACTTGGTCTCAAAAGAAAAAGAAAAGAAAAAAATAATCAAACAGGGAACTTAAGACATTCTAAGCCAGTACATATCTCAATTAGCTTAGTGACCTTGGGCAAAACTTTAGACCCAAATTCCTCAACTATATAAGAAGAGGATTAGATTAGTGTTTATCGGTTTATCAATTTGTTTTCTTCAGAATTTTAGGGGTTTCTTAGAAATGCTTCGAAGGAAAAAGGGAGGCCAAATGATAGAGGAGTTTCAGGCCCCCAATCTCTGCTTCAACCAGAATAGTTCCACTTTTACCAGTTTTATATTACTGATACTCTTTTTTTTTTTTTTTTGAGACGGAGTTTCGCTCTTTGTTGCCAAGGCTGGAGTGCAATGGTATGATCTCTCCTCATTGGAACCTCTGCCTCCCAGGTTCAAGTGATTCTCCTGCCTCAGCCTCCCAAGTAGCTGGGATTACAGGCACCTGCCACCACGCCCGGCTAATTTTTGTATTTTTAGTAGAGACGGGGTTTCACCATGTTGGCTAGGCTGGTCTCGAACTCCTGACCTCAGGTGATCCGCCCGCCTCAGCCTCCCAAAGTGTTAGGATTACAGGCGTGAGCCATCAGGCCCGGCTGTATTACTGATATTCTACATAAGTTTTTGTTGGATAAAGATGCTACCACCACCAAAAAAGTCTATAAACCAGTTGATTGTTCTGTGTTGACCTGATGTAATAGAGCCTAGACACTGTGCCCAAAACTGGGGATAAATAACTTACTACAGATAAAGTAGAGCCTGCAGGTACTGAAACAGATGGAGAGAGACAGGAGGACAAAGAAAGACCTAAGATTCAAGAGGCATTAAATATACGAGGCACACATGAAATATATATGACACATTACATATGCATGAGGCATTCAGTGTTCATGAGGCCTTAAATAAGCCACTCACTGGTGACACCCTCTTGGTCTCTCATGTCCTCTGCCAAAGAAAACCCATCTTATAGGCTAATGACTGAGCTAATGCAAATGGCCATGTGTGTGTGCCCCTGGGGCCTCTCCAAATAGGGCAAGTTTGTGTGGTGGCCTCAGGCACCTTTTGTCTTTGTGCTCCCATGACCGAACTTCAGCTCTAGTATGTGTAACCACTCTATTAGCAGCAGAGACAGGCAGGACATATAAACCTAGGACAAATGGAACCCAAGATTCAGAGAGTGTGGCACTTGCATCCTGCTTGCACCGTGTCTTCTGTGTTCACCTCTCCAACTCTTTCCCCTTGCTTCTCACCCTGAGTTCTAAACTGATTTAATAAACCATGTGGGCCGGGTGCAGTGGCTCACGCCTGTAATCCCAGCACTTGGGAGTTCGAGGTGGGCGGATCACCTGAGGTCAGGAGTTCTCAGGAGTTCGAGACCAGCCTGGCCAACATAGTGAAACCCCATCTCCAATAAAAATACAAAAAAATTAGCCAGGAGTGGTGGCGCATGCCTGTAATCCCAGCTACTTGGGAGGCTGAGGCAGAAGAATCGCTTGAACCCAGGAGGCGAAGGTTGCAGTGAGCTGAGATCATGCCATTGCACTCCAGCCCAGGAAACAAGAGCGAGACTCCATCTCAAAAAAATAATAATAAATAAATAAATAAATAAATAAACCATGTGACTTGGCATCTTAATTTGGGCTGCTAGTCTTTCTGTTCTGTGACCTGTGCGATAGCTTGCCTGGTAATACACTCGGAGGCTACCATTGCATTGAGATAATTTCCCACATTCATGGTGCCCAGCACAGTACCTTGTCCATAGCCCAAACAAAAATACCTCATAATTTCACTTCTAGCTACTCTGATTACTGAACAAGCTCTTACTCCTTCTCAACCCCCACAAAAGAGGGCTGTTATGAGACTCTGGTGTCCTGTCTCTTACCTGTAAGACTGTGCTGTCTGCAAAGCCAAAGCCATCCTTTAACAGGGCTGTGATGTAGCTGAGATCCATGCACAGGAAAGGACTGCCTGAGGTGAAGTTTTCCAAGTTATCACACACTGAAAGAGAGAGTAAACAGTGGAGCTCAAGTTTGCAACTAACTGAGAGGTGTAGGATTTTCTCTTAGAAAGAAGTGGAATAGGGGCCAGGCGCGGTGGCTCACGCCTGTAATCCTAGCACTTTGGGAGGCTGAGGCGGGTGGATCACCTGAGGTCAGGAGTTTGAGATCAGCCTGGCCAACGTGGTGAAACCCCATCTCTACTAAAAATACAAAAATTAGCAGGGCGTGGTGGTGTACCGCTGTAATCCCAGCTACTCGGGAGGCTGAGGCAGGAGAATCGCTTGAACCTGGAAGGCAGAGGTTGCAGTGAGCCGAGATCTCACCACTGCACTCCAGCCTGGGTGACAGAGCAAGACTCTGTCTCAAAAAAAAAAGGTAGGGGGAGAAGAAGAATAAGCAAAGCAGAAGTCTCCCTTTGGTTAATGCTTAGGCATCTCAGAGACTAGACTGCACTGACTGCCTCTGTAAGACCGCAGCTTCTGAAGAACTTGCACATCTCTGGTATGATTATCTATTCACATTTACATGGGCTCTAGTTTATTTGCTAAGTTTCTATGACCTATTGTGGGGGCTTAGTTCTAAATCCCTTATCTATTATTAATGGTGAGGCCCAGAAGACAGGGAAATATCATTTAACCCTACTGTGGGCTACTCGATAAGATCATTTGTATTTTATTTTTTAATTTTTAAAAACTTTTTATTAATTTTTTTTTTTAGAGACAAGGTCTCATGCTGTCACCCAGGGTGGAGTGCAGTGGCATGATCACAGCTCCCTGCAGCCTCAAGCTCCTGGGTTCACACGATCCTCCTGCCTCAGCCTCCCAAGTAGCTGAGACTACAGGTCGAACCACTGTGCCTAGCTCTCTTGGTAGTTTTGATCCTCTCAAGGAAGCCTCTGTGGCTATTTACCATGTCTTTTGATGCTTAGTGTTTCATTAACACTGATAACACTATTTCAATTTAAAAAAGAAAGCAAGAAATGTAGAAGGAAAAAAAAGGTCTTCACCATTTCCCTAAAGCCCTAAAGCCTCTTTGTTTTTTTTTTTTTGAGGTGGAGTCTCACTCTGTTGCTCAGGCTGGAGTGCAGTGGCACAACCTTGGCTCACTACAACCTCTGCCTCCCAGGTTCAAGCGATTCTCCTACCTCAGCCTCCCGAGTAGCTGGGATTACAGGCGCCTGCCACCTTCCTTGGCTAATTTTTGTATTTTTAGTAGAGATGGGGTTTCACCATGTTGGCCAGGCTGTCTTGAACTCCTGACCTCAGGTGATCCGCCCACCTTGGCCTCCCAAAATGCTGGGATTACAGGCGTGAGCCACCGTGCCCGGCCTCCTAAAACCTCTTGTATTCCCATATTCTTGCCCATAATTCTATGCTGCATAAAGCTGAAAAAAAATTTATTTTTTTAGAGACAGAGGTCTCACTATGTTGCCTAAGCTGCAATGCAGTGACTGTTCACAGGTGTGATTATAGTGCACTATAACCTTGAATTTCTGGCCTCAAGCAATCCTCCCGCCCTGAGTAGCTGGGACTACAGATGCGTGCCACCATGCCTGGCTACCACCCAATGCTTTTAACTTTTAGCAAAGACTGGAAGACTCAGAAAGGAAACTAGCCTTCTGATAGGCCTTCTGAGCTGACTGAGGTGCTTTAGGTCACTTTAGGTCACTAGAGTAGGCAGGCAGTCTCACAGGCTTACCTTCAAGGGCTTCCCCTGACACTTACCTTCCCTGGCTTTTCTTTCAAAATCTTCAACTTTTAAAATACCCCCCTTTTCATAATCTGAAATAAAACAGAAGATTATCTGATATCAAAACGCCTTCAAGGAAGCATAAGGAAATTCATTCATTCATTCATTATATACACATGTACATAATGTAATCTATGCAACCTAATTTACTTATTTACAATCTATTCCATGTTATGTATATTTAACCACAATGGAAAAAACAGACCCATAAAACACAATAGGCCGGGTGTGGTGGCTCATGCCTGTAATCCCAGCACTTTGGGAGGCCGAGGAAGGCAGATAACGAGGTCAGGAGTTCAAGACCAGCCTGACCAACATGGTGAAACCTCGTCTCTATTAAAAAAAAAATTAGCCGGGTGTGGTGGCAGGCACCTGTAATCCCAGCTACTCAGGAGACTGGGGCAGGAGAATCGGTTGAACCCGGGAGGCAGAGGTTGCAGTGAGCCTAGATCATGCCATTGCACTCCAGCCTGGGTAACAGAGTGAGACTCTGTCTCAAAAAACAAACAAACAAACAAAAAACCAAAACAACAACAACAACAAAACCCCCACAATAATAGGAAATTAATTCATCTCTCTCAGGCCATGACAGATCAGGTACATATACTTTCACAGTTAGGCAAAAACACTGCTTTTGTGATAAGAAGAAAAGTTATAAAGAGACAGGAGGAAACTTTTTGTGGTGAATATGTTTATTATCTTCAATGTGCTGATGGATTCATGGGTGTATACATGACAAAACTTAAATTGTATACTTTAAATGTGCACTTATTGTATGCCAATTATACCTCAATAAACATGTTAAAAAAAAAAAGACCTCATATAGTTGTTTTGGTCATCTCTCACCTCCAAAAGACTCTAAGTCATTTCCACCCTTTTGTTCGAGTGACTAGAAAAGAGGTGGGTAATCACCCCGACAAAGCACCTCAAGTGCTCTTTCTCCTTGACCTTCCCCACCACAGCCCTATCCACCTTCCTCTCTGGACTGACACCTGGGGTGAACTCACCAATCATGTCTGTGTCAACAGCTCGGTCATAATAGTAAGAGA
Source organism: Homo sapiens (assembly GCF_000001405.40). Lineage (NCBI taxonomy): Eukaryota > Metazoa > Chordata > Mammalia > Primates > Hominidae > Homo > Homo sapiens. The sequence continues at coordinate 73,972,926 of NC_000014.9, forward strand.
AAGCATAGAAGGAACCTCTCTGGACCTCCTCTGGCTGGTGAAGTTTTCCTCGTACCACCCTCAGCACTTCGGCATAGCAGGGCTCAAAGCCCACCTCCCCTGCCAGGCAAAGGTGCACAGGGGTAAGGTGAGAACGACGCTGGGGGAAGGGGACACTCTCTGAGGCAGGCTGCTGGAGACAATGAGGGAACAGCAGGAAGGTCAAGGAAAGCAGGAGAAGGCTGAGGCTTGGGACAAGAGGCGTCAAAACAAAGATGAGCAAACGTCTGCAGCCTCACCAGTCTGTTTCTCCATGGCCGCTCTCCTGCCTAATCTGTATTCACCAGATCATGGCCAACCTTGTGCTGCTGCCTAGCATTACATTCCATAGCATTTGTAAGCAAGTAGCTAAAGGGCTCGCCTGCTTCCTTCACTGGGAATTCAGGTTCATTCCTTGATATTCAGGTATATACCTTTTATAAGAAGATGAATCATTCTTGTCTTGGTTTTAAGTTTTACTATAATTTAAATAGCTAACCATTAACTAAACAGGCTTTCACACTGCTGCATTAGACCTAGGCTTAGAATATGCTTCTTAATTAATTTGTAAGAGGTAGGGTCTCCCTGTTGCCCAGGCTGGAGTGCAGTGGCATTGCGCACTATAGCCTTGAACTCATGGGCTCAAGTGATCCTCTTGCCTCAACCTTTGGAGTAGCTAGGACAATAGATGTGCACCACAGCACTTGGCTAAGGGCAGGTATCTAATGGGTCCATGACACTTGGCTGATGCAGAATGACAGCTGCTTTGTTCACTGTCACTTCACATTAGTCCTTGGAGGCATGCCAAGATCTTTGGAATAAGTCCCTGCAACAAGATAAGCTTCTCTTGAGTTCTGGAAAAAGTTTCCCATGGGACTTTTCCAGAGCTTCCATTGTAAACGTAACTTTAACCAGTGAAAAAACATCACTTGCCTTCTTGGTTGCCACCATACTGGTATTTCACACCCCCAAAGATCCACTCTGCTTCCAACCATCTCGGTAAACAGGCACTCCGGAAAGTGTGCCCATCAGTCCCTGAAAGAATCCAGGGCACAAGGTAAGAGGTAAGTAAGTGAGAGAGAGGGAGGAAGGCAAGCAAGAAGCCAGTGAGGTGGAAAAGAATCACCATGGGGGCTGGGCCTTAAAATCCTATGAAATTAATTCCATGACAACATCCTGTGACAGGAATCCTTAACTCAGGGTTCAAAGATAGGCTTTGTGGGGTTGGTGAACCCCCTGAAACCAGAAGCAAATTTTCATGCATATGTGCTTTTGTCAGAGGGGTCCATGGCTTTCATCACATCTCAAAGAGATCCAAAACCTTCAATACAGCAACTTTCCACCTTTATAAAAACAGGAAAGAAATGCTATGCTACCTTCCTCACTGGTTGCTGAGAGGCTTCAATTAAATATACTTGAAGATGTTTTGTATACTCTGAAATGCAAAATAGATGTCATCCCAATAACAGATTACTGTACAAAGTGCCTTAAATGCAAATTCTCATTTAATGTGAGGAAAGGGGCACAGATAGGTTACTTGCCTCATATCACAACACTGGGACTGAACCCAGTTCTGCCTGACCTGTGAAGAGATCAATGGAGTTACTCTGTTGTTCCACCTGCATGTAGAACAGACTCTGCTTCCTGTGCCTCCAATGTAAAGCTCAGGGCTTGAGCAAGCTCCTGCTGAATGTATTCGTAAAGCCTGGGATTTCTGCAGACACTTCAGCTGCCTAGACATAGGCTGTTACCCCTGAACAAGTAGACCTCATTCTAAAAATGGCTAATAATATACATCAAAACTTCTGAACTTATAAACTAGAAAAGGAGTTTGCCATTATTAGGTCCATTATACAACATTTGCCTCCCAATTCAACATAATCTTTTCCTTCATAGAATGGCTATCAAGGAAGGGAAGAAGCAAGCGGAGTATCTGTGTCACCCTCACCATCCCCCCCCAGCACAGGTACCCAGACAAACCTTCTGTCTCCAGGGCTCCCAGGGTTGCTAGTCTTGCAGCTTTCAATCCAAATCCCAGGTAACTGTAAAATACAGGATTGACTAATTTCATGCTGGTCCTGAAGTTCTCTAGCCTAAAGCTACCTCTTTCAAAAGTAACATTGTTCCTGTGTCCCTCTGGAAAGATGAAAACCTTGTTCTGTCTGTGACATATTCATCTCCTGTGGTCAACAAGGGGTAATTTCTGCACAGTTTGGATCAAGGCTATGCAGTAAGAATTCCCCACAGTTATCATTCAAAGGCCAGAGACAGTGACAATTCCTAGGGTCCCACACTAGGAACCATTCCCAGAAAAGCTCTCTTTAGCTTAGCTCCTAGCCCCAACTGGGATCACATTCCAGGCTGGATTCTGAACCTCTGAAGGCCAGCTCAAAGGAGCTGGCAAGGAGCTTTGCCTGAGCCTTCTTGAAGTGTCCTCTCCCTACAGAAAGCTTTTGATTCTTTTTTTTTTTTTTTTTTTGAGACTGAGTCTTGCTCTGTCGCTCCGGCTGAAGTGCAGTGGTGTGATCTCGGCTCACTGCAATCTCCGCCTCCAGGGTTCAAATGATTCTCCTGCCTCAGCCTCCTGAATAGCTAGGATTACAGGTGTGCGCTGTCATATCCAGCTAATTTTTGTATTTTAGTAGAGACGGGGTTTCACCATGTTTGCCAGGCTGGTCTCAAACGCCTGACCTCAGGTGACCCACCCACCTCGGCCTCCCAAAGTGCAGGGATTACAGGCATGAAGCCACTGCACCCAGCCGAAAACTTTTGACTCTTAAGTCATATATTAATGCTTTTGAGGCCAAGAATGGAGAAGCCTCTTAGGCTCCTCCGGCTTTGTAAGTGGACCGGGTTTCAGTTGATAGGCCTTAGGGAATTGGCACAGACTTTGTTTTTGCTAATCAGATACAATAACAGATTTGAGAATGCTTTGGAAAGTTAGGAGAATCATACAACATGAAATATTCTTCTTCCCTGTCCCCGTCCTCACCTATGTGTATAGAGCTTATAAGTGCTGTTAAACATCTCAAAGGAAGTGAGGTAGCCCCTAGGAGTTTGTTCCAGAGTTTTCTGCAAATCAGAAAAAGCAAAAAGACTATTCAGGATCTGTAATTACCTGAAGATGTTCACACCACCACCCGTCCCTCCCAGCAAAAAATCAGAGATGAAGACAGATTAAGGGGCTAATCTCACTAGGCTTGAGGAAACGAAGGGATTCTGAACAGTGAGATGGCAAGGGAACATTCACCTAGTTATTAATTGACTTGACTCTGCCTAAGCGTGGTAGAGCTGCTGGCTGAAAATGGGGCGCCTCTTTCTTGGCACCATGATACGCCTGCCAAGTGCACTTCTAACCAGATCTTCATTAAATGACTCACCTCAAACTGGGGCAGGAACGTGATTTGGGTGGAGGCTCCCCCTAGGTCCAAGGTCCCCACAGTCTCCTGTCTGTGGCCATGCAGCTGACCTGTCAAATGAGAGCCAGCTCTAAATAGCCTCGACATCCTGGGCAGCCCAACACTTGTCTCTCTTGCTCTTATCATACACTGAAGGTATTCCATACATACTCCACTGCTCCCCAGCCCCAAGGCTGCAGGTGAATGTCAACTCGGAAGGACTCTTGTTGCAGCAGAGGCCTTCAAGGCAGGTGTTTTTTTTTTTTTTGGAAGGCCTTTTTGGAGACAGAGTCTTGCTCTATCATCCAGCCTGGAGTGCAGTGGCGCAATCTCGGCTCTCAGCTCACTGCAACCTCTGCCTCCTGGGTTCAAGTGATTCTCCAGCCTCCTGAGTAGCTGGGACTACAGGTACACACCACCATGCCCAGCTATTTTTGTATTTTTGGTAGAGACGGAGTTTCGCCATGTTGGCCAGGCTGGTCTTGAACTCCTGGCCTCAAGTGATCTGCCCAACTCAGCCTCCCAAAGCGCTGGAATTAACAGGCATGAACTGCCACACCCAGCCTCTTTTCCTTTTTTAAAGAAGAAGAAACAATACAGAATGAAAGAAAAGGCTTTTACTCCTCTGACTATGCATGTAAAAGCTAGTTAAGCTCTAAAGATAAACTTGAGGATGTATTACCTGTCAGAAAATTCACAGTAACCCAAGCTAATATGCCTAAAAAGAAAGAAAGACAAGGATTAGATCCCAGAGCATTTTTTCTCTTTCCTGGCCCCAACCTTGTTTTTTTTTTTTCCTCTCTAAATTCCATGTCTAGAGCACATGTTCCCTTCTCCCTGTCTTCTATTTCCTGCTATCTCATTCCTTCTGTTTATTCCTGGCCCCAGTTCCTTTAGTTAGATCTTTCACTGATCCTGCCCCTCTCCCCCTGGAACGCATATCAACACCTCTCCCACCTTCGTCGGATCCATCCATGATGCTAACACTGCCCTTTGGTACCAGGAAAGGTGACTTCCTGAAGATCTCCTTTACCTAGAGAAAAAGGAAAAAAAAAAAAAAAGAATTCCCTAAGGCAATAAAATAGATTTCCATATTTTGACAGTGTCCTGTAAGACTTAGAAAACTACTCCATTTTTCCTAGATAAAATTTTGGCAAAACTCATTCCTTTGCCCTAAGAAACTAGAGAAGAAACTAGGCAAGCCATTACCAGTTTCTTGCAAAAACACAAACACAGAGATTCCTTTGACTTTAAGTAAAGCTAAACCAAACCATCTAAATGTATAGGTGAACTGGACCTATGGAAAGGCATATATTTAACCCTGCCAGCTCAAATCAGGATCCTGTAACTTTTTAAACCTGATAAACTCTACCTGGACATACACTGGAAACTAGGAGGAGCCTTCCCACTCCATTCCTTAGATGAGCTGACATGAACCTGCTGTGGTGAAGTTCACACCTAAGGGCTGAGGTACTCTGCTACCAGCTCCTGTCAGATTCTGGCACATGGCTAGGGTCTCTAGAGCATGGGGAGACTCCAGATCTAGACTTAAGGAATCCTGTTTCAGGAGATGGGAATGACGATCTTGCAAAAACATCTTGCCTCTCCATAATACAGACCATTGATATGGGTGTTAATGTCTTATGTTTATATAATTATCAAGGGAAAGAAAAAAGAATTCTCCAAATAGGATAGGAAGAACGCTAGTCTGTTTGCTGTTCTCATTTCTGATGGATGAAACATACCACATAATGACCTCTGGATCCTGTTTCAACCAGGAAAAACCAGTTAAGTTATATATAAACAAACTTTTAAAGACAGATAAGTGAACAGGATGAAGCACAGCAAGAGAGCTTCTGCTCTTGCCTTCTCCACTTTTCTCCCCCATCCTACAGTTTGTTCTCAAAACAGCAGCCAGAACGGTGCTTTAAAAATGGACGTCAAATCATGTGTTTCCTTGGCTCAAAACCTTCCAGTGGCAGCCGGGCATGGTGGCTCATACCTCTCATCCCAGCACTTTTGGAGGCCGAGGCAGGTGGATCACCTGAGGTCAGGAGTTCGAGACCGGCCTGGCCAACATGATGAAACCCCATCTCTACTAAAAATACAAAAAAATTAGCATGGTGGTGGGCACCTGTAATCCCAGCTACCTGGGAGGCTGAGGTAGGAGAATCGCTTGAACCCAGGAGGTGGAGGTTGCAGTGAGCCGAGATCGCGCCATTGCACTCTAGCCTGGGTAACAAGAGTGAGACTCTGTCTCAAACAAAACAAAACAAAACAAAACGCCAAAAAACAAAAAACCTTCCAGTGGCTTCCTTCTTATAGAAAAAGCCAAAGTGCGGGCGGATCACCTGAAGTCAGGAGTTTGAGACCAGCCTGACCAACATGGTGAAAACCCATCTATACTAAAAATAGAATATTAGCCGGGCATGATGGCGCATGCCTGTAATCCTAGCTACTTGGGTGGCTGAGGCAGAAGAATCACTTGAACCCAGGAGGTGGAGGTTGCAGTGAACAGAGATAGCGCCATTGCACTCCGTCCTGGGCAACAAGAGCAAAATTCAGTCTCAAAAAGAAAAAAGAAAAAGAAAAAGCCAAAGTGATTACACTGGCATTTGAGATCCTACATGATAAACACCCCTTAACCCTGCCTCTCTGAGGTTACCGCCTCCTTACCTCTCATATCGCTCTTTCCTCTCCAGCTATGCTGACCTCCTGGATGCTGTTCCTAACATACCAAGCACATACCTGCCTCTGGCCTTTGCACCTGCTGTTTCTTTAGCCTGGAATATTCTTCCCACAAATGTCTTGTGTAACTTGCTTCTTCATCCCCCTAAGATCTCTGATCAACTGAATTTTATCAAAGACTTCTTCCCTGACTGTCCTATTTAAAATAGCATTTCCCCCACACTATCAACAGATTCCCTACCTGCCTTTCCCTGCTTTTTTTTTTTCCCTCCATAGCACCTGCAGAACCTAACATAACTTTCTTTTGACTTGTTCAGATGTTTATTTTCTGTCTTCCTGAAGTAGAATGTAAGCTACAGGAGTGCAAAGACCATTTTTGTATTTTTGGTTCCCTGCTGAATGTATTCCAGTAACTTCACCAGTACCCAGTACATAGTAAGCACTTTTTTTTTTTTTTTTTGAGACAGAATCTTGCTCTGTCACCCAGGCTGGAGTGCAGTGGCGCCATCTCAGCTCACTGCAGCCTCTGCCTCCCGGGTTCACACCATTCTCCTGCCTCAGCCTCCCGAGTAGCTGGGACTACAGGTGCCTACCACCACGCCTGGCTAATTTTGTGTATTTTTAGTAGAGACGGGGTTTCACCGTGTTAGCCAGGATGGTCTCGATCTCCTAACCTCGTGATCCACCCGCCTTGGCCTCCCAAAGTGCTGGGATTACAGGCGTAAGCCACTGCACCTGGCCCAGTAAGCACTCTTATGTTGAATAAATGAGGAATAAATCAGGAATCAGGATTCAGGTTCTCACAGAGACATATTAGGCTGCTCATCCTTGGATAAGTGACTTAAGTCCTCTGTACTGACAGTCAAAGGAAAATGGATTTAGGGCCTGTAATACAGAGTCCTTTTTTGCCATGATTTTTTTTTTTTTTTTTTTTGAGACAGAGTTTCACTCTTGTCACCCAGGCTGGAGTGCAATGGCACGATCTTGGTTCACTGCAACCTCTGCCTCCCAGGTTCAAGTAATTCTCCTGCCTCAGCCTCCCCAGTAGCTGGGATTACAGATGCCTGCCACCATGCCCAGCTAATTTTTGTATTTTTATTAGAGACAGGGTTTCACCATGTTGGCCAGGCTGGTCTTGAACTCCTGACCTCAGGTGATCCGCCCGCCTCGGCCTCCCAAAGTGTTGGGATTACAGGCATGAGCCACCGCGCCTGGCCTACTATGATTTTCAGTTTCAATCTTTTTTTTTTTTTGAGACAGAGTCTCGCTCTGTTGCCCAGGCTGGAGTGCAGTGGCGTGATCTCGGCTCACTGCAAGCTCCGCCTCCCAAGTTCAAGCAATTCTCCTGCCTTAGCCTCCTGAGTAGTTGACCAACAGGCGTGAGCCACCATGCCCAGCTAATTTTTGTATTTTCAGTAGAGACGGGGTTTCACCATGTTGGCCAGGCTGGTCTCAAACTCCTGACCTCAGGTGATCTGCCCGCCTTGGCCTCCCATAGAGCTGGGATTTTGGGCATGAGCTACCACACCGGGACTTAATTTTTTTTGTAGAAATAGGGGTCTTGCTTTGTTGTCTGGACTGGTCTCAAATTCCTGGCCTCAAGCAATCCTCCTGCTTTGGCCTCCCAAAATGTTGAGATTACAGGCATGAGCCACTGCACCGAGCCTGATTTTTTGTTATAATGAGATTCTGCTTATATTCTTCACAACATGAAATTTAAATTTTATTAACTTACATGTTTATTGCATAACAAATATATACAATAAAATTTAAAAATACTGAGTTTGGCTGGGCACAATGGCTCATGCCTGTAATCCCAGTACTTTGGGAGGCTGAGGCGGGCAGATCACCTTAGGTCAGGAGTTTGAGACCAGCCTGACCAACATGGCGAAACCCCATCTCTACTAAAATATACAAAAATTAGCTGGGAGTGGTGGCGCACGCCTGTAGTCCCAGCTACTCGGGAAGCTGAGGCAGGAGAATCGCTTGAATCTGGGAGGCAGAGGTTGTAGTGACCTGAGGTCGCACTACTGCACTCCAGCCTGGGCGACAGAGCAAGTCTCCGCCTCTCAAAAAATAAATAAATAAATAAATAAATAAGAATAAAAATAAAAATACTGAATTTAACAAAACTCTCTATACTTAAATTTTTGATCTGAATAAGAAGGGAGTTGAAATATATGACTTAGGGCCGGGTGCAGTGGCTCACGTCTGTAATCCCAGCACTTTGGGAAGCCGGGGTGGGTGGAGTTTGAGGCCAGGAGTTTGAGACCAGCCTGGCCAACATGGTGAAACCCTGTCTCCATTAAAAATACAAAAATTAGCCAGGCGTGGTGGTGCATGCCTATAATCCCAACTACTCTGGAGGCTGTGGCAGAAGAATTGCTTGAACCTGGGAGGCGGAGGTTGCAGTGAGCCAACATTGTGCCACTGCACTCCAGTCTGGGTAACAGAAAAAAAAAATGTATATATATATATATGACTTCACCAGGCGTGGTGGCTCATGCCTGTTCCTATAATCCTAGCACTTTGGGAGGCCAAGGAAGGTGGACTGCCTGAGCTCAGGAGTTTGAAACCAAGCCTGGGCAACATGGTGAAACCCTATGTCTACAAAAAAATTTATAAAAATTAGCCGGGTGTGGTGGCACATAACTGTAATCTCAGTTAACTGGGAGGCTAAGGCAGGAGGATTGCTTGAACCTGGGAGGTGGAGGTTGCAGTGAGCCAAGATCGTGCCACTGCACTCAAGCTTGGAAGACAGAGTGAGACTCTGTTTCCAAAAAAAAAAAAAAAATCAAACTTTAAAGTTCCATTATTCTTCTCAAAAACTTTATGCTGAGAGGAAAAAAGCCAGATATACAAAAATAAAAATAAAAACTGTATAATTCCATTTATATGAAAAGAATAAGCAAAACTTATAGTGACAGGAAGCAAATTAGTGATTGGTTGGTTTCAGGGGTGAGGGAAACTCACTATAAAAGAGCATGAGGAAATTTCTATTTCTTGTCAAAACTCATTTAACTGTACACCTAAAATATATAATTTTTTGTTTGTTTGTTTTTTGAGATGCAGTCTCGCTCTGTTGCGCAGGCTGGAGTGCAGTGGTGTGATCTCAGCTTAGTGGAACCTCTGCTTCCTGGGTTGAAGCGATTCTCCTGCCTCAGCCTCCTGAGTAGCTGGGACTACAGGCGTGCGCCACAATGCCCAGCTAATTTTTGTATTTTTAGTAGAGATGAGGTTTCACCATGTTAGCCAGGCTGGTCTCAAACTCCTGACCTCAGGCAATCCACCTGCCTCAGCCTCCCAAAGTGCTGGGATTACAGGTGTGAGCCACCGTGCCCAGCCTAAAATAGATATATTTTATTGTATGTAAGTTTATCTTAATAAAGTTGATTAGAAACGACTTCTGATTCTGCTTTAAAAATCTAAAAGAATGAAGAATATCAGCCAGGTGCAGCAGCTCATGCCTGTAATTCCAGCACTTTGGGAGGCTGAGGCGGGCAGATCACGAGGTCAGGAGATCGAGACCATCCTGGCTAACGCAGTGAAACCCCGTCTCTACTAAAAATACAAAAAATTAGTCGGGTGTGGTGGCAGGTGCCTGTAGTCCCAGCTACTCCGGAGGCTGAGGCAGGAGAATGGCATTAACCTGGGAGGTGGAGCTTGCAGTGAGCCAAGATGGCGCCACTGCACTCCAGCCTGGGTGACAGAGTGAGACTCCATCTCAAAAAATAAAAATAAAAATAAAAAGAATGAAGAATATCCTAGATAGAAAGTACTTTAAATTTTTTAGGAAAAGCTCTATACATTTAAGAGTGATAGTTAAAAATGTAAACAACTAGCTATAACAAGTGGTCAGAGTCATCACAATGCTTTGGCAGTGGTGGAATACTGAAGGTAGTGGTCACATTCCAAAAGGCTAAAAACTCATAAAGTATTCATATAGGGAAAAGGGCAGAATGATCCAAGATGCAGTTTTAAAACTTACCTCAAAGAGCAGAGCCTTGGCTTTGTGTTCTGGCAGTAAGCGTAGTCCTGCTGTTGCCTTTAGGACCACTGGGGTCTTTTTCCAGTGACTTCGGGGGATTGAGTCTTTGGCCACCTCTAAGAGCCCTTGAACGGTCTCAGCACCCTTCAAAAGAGATAACCCGTTCATCTGATGAACGATCCATTTAGTGGCTGGCACTGGTCTATTCTGTCAACATACTTTGTGGGAGCAAGAAGAGGGAGGTGGCATAGGGCTCCAACCTCTCTCTGCTCTGTAGCAGGAGAAACCTAGAGAAGTGGGCCGCTTTGAAGGAGAATCCAGGCCAGGCGCAGTGGTGTCTCACACCTGTAATCCCAGAACTTTGGGAGGCCAAGGTGGGTGGATCATTTGAGGTCAGGAGTTTGAGATCAGCCTGACCAACATGGTGAAACCCCATCTCCACTAAAAAATACAAAAATAAGCCAGGCATGGTGGCACACACCTGTAGTCTCAGCTACTCGGGAGGCTGAGGCAAGAGCATTGCTTGAACCTGGGAGGCAGAGGTTGCAGTGAGTCAAGCCTATGCCACTGCACTACAGCCTGCGCAACAGAGTGACACTCCATCTCAAAAAAAAAAAAAAAAGGAGAATCCATTTCATTTTGACAGTCCTAATAAAAAATTATTATTATTATTATTATTTTTTTTGGGACATTCTTGCTCTGTCACCCAGGCTGGAGTGCAGTGGCATGATCTTGTGATCTTGGCTCACTGCAACCTCCACCTCCCAGGTTCAAGCGATGCTTGTGCCTCAGTCACCCAAGTAGCTGGGATTACAGGCATATGCCACCACACCCAGATAATTTTTGTATTTTTAGTAGAGACAGGGTGTCACCATCTTGGCCAGGCTGGTCTCGAATACCTGACCTCAAGTGATCCACCCACCTCACCCTCCCAAAGTGCTGGGATTACAAGCATGAGCCACCGTGCCTGGCCAAATTATTCTTTTATATTGTGATCATTTTAGTTGATTATCTTTTTCTTTTTTTTAAGACGGAATTTTGCTCTTGTTACCCAGGCTGGAGTGCAACGGCACAATCTCGGCTCACTGCAACCTCTGCCTCCCGGGTTCAAGCGATTCTCCTGCCTCAGCCTCCTGAGTAGCTGGGATTACAGGCATGCGCCACAGCACCTGGCTGATTATTTCATGTTTCTTATATATAAATCAGCTTTAGGATGGTAGAGTGAAGAAAACAGGAGTTAGAGTCAGAAGACTTGCTTGCTAGCCCTGTGGCCTAACTTAGGTCACTTGGCCTTGTTGGGACTTGGTTTCCTCAAGTGTGGGATGGTAGATACGCTGCCTACCACCACTAAACTGTTGTGTGCATGAGGCATAGTGCATGTGGTTACCACACAAGCTGTGGCAGTAATGATGCCATACTTTTGATGATCTCCTAAAGAACATGTCAGGCTTATTCCTGTATCATCATATGGCACACAGTAGATGCTCAATTTGTAATAAATGAAAACCATTATTTTAAATCCACTATTTCCCTGAATGAACTTCTATTCTGATATCTGACTGCCCTTTGATCATTATTGTTAGCAACTACAACACGATCACCTTTTCTAAATGCCAAGTCAGTTTCTAATAATATAGTTGCTTTCAACAGCTCCTAATTTTTCTTTTTTAATTATTTATTTTTAATTAATTAATTTATTTATTTACTATTCAAATATACCCCTGACCCTGGTATTTTTTTTTAATACTTTAAGTTCTAGGGTACATGTGCACAATGTGCAGGTTTGTTTGTTACATATGCATACATGTGCCACGTTGGTGGGCTGCACCCATTAACTCATCATTTACATTAGGTATATCTCCTAATGCTTTCCCTCCCTGCTCCCGCCACCCCACGACAGGCCCCGGTGTGTGATGTTCCCCACCCTGTGTCCTCATTGTTCAATTCCCACCTATGAGTGAGAACATGCGGTGTTTGGTTTTCTGTTCTTGCGACAGTTTGCTCAGAATGATGGTTTCCAGCTTCATACATGTCCTTACAAAGGACATGAACTCATCCTTTTTTTATGGCTACATAGTATTCCATGGTGTATATGTGCCACATTTTCTTAATCTAGTCTATCATTGATGGACATTTGGGTTCGTTCCAAGTCTTTGATATTGTGAATGATGCCTCAATAAACATATGTGTGCATGTGTCTTTATAGCAGCATGATTTATAATCCTTTGGGTATATACCGAGTAATGGGATGGCTGGGTCAAATGGTATTTCTATTCCTAGATCCTTGAGGAATCACCACGCTGTCTTCCACAATGGTTGAACTAGTTTACAGTCCCACCAACAGTGTAAGAGTGTTCCTATTTCTCCACATCCTCTCCAGCACTTGTTGTTTCCTGACTTTTTAATGACCGCCATTCTAACTGGTGTGAGATGGTGTCTCATTGTGGTTTTGATTTGCATTTCTCTGATGGCCAGTGATGATGAGCATTTTTTCATGTGTCCGTTGGCTGCATAAATGTCTTCTTTTGAGAAGTGTCTGTTCATATCCTTTGCCCACTTTTTGATGGGGTTGTTTGATTTTTTCTTGTAAATTTGTTAAGTTCTTTGCAGATTCTGGATATTAGCCCTTTGTCAGGTGGGTAGATTGTAAAAATTTTCTCCCGTTCTGTAGGTTGCCTGTTTACTCTGATGGTAGTTTCTTTTGAACAGCTCCAAATTTTTCTAGTAGATTTGCTATCCATGTGCTACTGAACTAAGAAAATATATCCTCTCGGGGCCAGGTGCAGTGGCTCACACCTGTAATCCCAGCACTTTGAGAGGCTGACATGGGCGGATCACAAGGTCAGGAGTTCAAGACCAGCCTGGCCATCATAGTGAAACCCCGTCTCTACTAAAAATACAAAAATTAGCCGGGCATGGTGGCACATGCCTGTAGTCCCAGCTACTCGGGAGGCTGAGGCAGAAGAATTGCTTGAACCCGCGAGGCAGAGGTTGTAGTAAGCCGAGATCAGGCCACTGCACTCCAGCCTGGGTAACAGAGTGATACTCCGTCAAAAAAAAAAAAAAAAAAGAAAAAGAAGAAAATGTATATATATCCATATATCCTCTCAGTTCTCCAAACTCAAATCATTTTTAACATCAAGCATTTGGGTAATGATTATTCTTGTGACAATGAACAATAAATACCTTTACATTTGCTCCCCAAGTTTAACATTCTGCATTATTCTATTTTATTTCAACATGGCCTCAGACACATAGGATGTAGTATGTTGTAGATGCTCAAATGTGAAATATAGTCGCCACAAACTCTCTATTCATCTTCTACCACCAAAGATTTTTGTCATCATGGGTTGTTGCCTAATTTCTCAAGTATAGATATGGTTCCATCCTGCATCAAGGCACTCTGAAATGGAATTCACTGCTCACCATGCCTTCAACTGCCATGTTTATACATCATACCCTACAGAACTTCATGTTTATCTTCTGCGCTTACATGAACAAATACAACTGATGGCTTCAACTCAAAATTTTAAACAGTAAGTACATAGGGAGTAATCTCTTAAAAGCTAGTGTCATCCTTGCATTACCACAACCAATTTTCTAGCCTTCTTCCACCCAGCCCTCATGAGCGTGGGAAATGTAATTAATTTTATCCAGGAGATTAGCTGAGGAGAGAAAGCTGATCTCACACATGATCTCAATCTCATTAGTGAATAGCATGAAATATTTAACAGCAGTGGTGTGGTCAAGTTATCAAGGCATTGAGAATCTAAACATCAAATCATAAGAAACTCACCTGCTTAGGTTGATCTACAAAAGCAGAAAGTCCTGGCTTCACAGAATCAAAAACTTCCCCTTCTAGAATTGGAAGCTGTCCTATTTTGTCCATGGAACAAAACAGAAGAGAGAGCTGGTTACCAAAAGTTAGGCTGCTTCAGATGCTGGGCTCTGTCTCTGTAAGTTTTCCTATGACTTCCCTGAAGTTATCCCAAATGATCCTAGTTGTGAGGAATGTCTTGCAGGAGTACTGGAAAGAAGGACTAGAGCAACCTCTGAGGGTCCATTTCTGCTACCATTTCTCTGGTGGACACCTAACTCCTCCACCTTTCCCCAGGCTCCATAAGTGACCTGAGGAAAAAACACTGACAATTCAGAAAAAGTTAATCTTCAGGGATTCCTAGCCTCATGTCCAAGGATGGCAGTGAAATTCTCATGTGATCCTTCTCCCAAAACCACTCCCCATATTCTGAATATTATGGATCCCTGGAGTATCCCATGTTTAAAGAGGAAGAACAAATTATAACTATTCTTTTTGAACACATGGGTTTCAGACTACAGACAGCCCAGCTCTCTTCTAATTTCACATTGAATTAAACCATGTGTTCTGGCCAAGCATGGTGACTTACACCTATAATCCCAGTACTTTGGGAGGCTGAGGTGGGAGGATCAATTGAGCCTAGGAGTTTGAGGCCAGCCTGAGCAGGTCTCTATAAAAAAATTTAAAAATGAGCTGGGCATGGTGGCACAAGCCTGTAGTCTCAACAACTCAGGGGGCTGAGGTGGAAGGACTGCTTGAGCCCAGGAGGTCAAGGTTGCAGTGATGTGTCATCATGCCACTGCACTACAGACCGGGCAACAAAGCAAGACCTTGTCTCAAAAAAAAAGTTAAAAAATAAAAACAAAACAAATAAATAAAAATAAATAAATAAACCACATGTTCAATTGTAGTCCAAAGTTCTCTGAAGAAAGACATCCACTAGGTGTGAGATTCTGTAATTCACATAATAAACTCTCAGCATATTTGTTTCTGGGAGGAGATGCTAAAGTGTGGATTTACAGACTCTACTAAGGGTCCCAGTTGCACTTACCTGGCATTTTCTGCACAAAGGTGTAAACATGAATTCGAGTTCCAGTGCTCCCTGCATCAAACATAATTCCATACAAGGTGCTGGCGCTGACATTGATGGGGCACATGGAAGACAGGAAGATACCCTCAAACCAAGTCTGCTGGTTCCTGTGGGAGACAGCGCTGCAAACACAGGATACCACCAGCATGAAAAAGACTGTGCCCCAAGAAGTGGCCATTCTTTTCCCAAGATGTGGCTGGGTGGAGGCTTTTGTTGCAGAAGCAATCCTGCTCGCACACCTGCAGAGGCTTATAGGACAAAGACACACAAGTTAGACCAACTAGCTTTTTTAGTTACACCTGTAAAAGAAGAAACACTCACTCCTGGGCCCAAGGTGTTCCTTCCCTATTCTAATAACCTGTACAACAAGCTAAACCAGGGTGATGTGGGCTCTTAGCACCTTTTCCGAAGGGTATCTAGTTCCAAAAGGAAATTGGAATTGAAGATATATTTTCCCATGCTTTGGTTTTTAAAAATACAGAGTAATTGTACATATTTATGGAATACATGTGATATTTTGATATATGCAGACGATGTGTAAAGATCAAATCAGAGAATCTAGGATATCTATTACAACATTTATCATTGTTTGTGTTGGAAACATTTCAAATCTTCTAGCTACTTTGAAATACACAATAAAATATTGTTAACTATAGTCACCCTACTGAACTATCAAACACTATAACTTATTCCTTCTATTTAATTGTAAGTTTGTACCCATTAACCAAGTTCTCCTAATCTCTCCACACCCCACTAGCCTTCCCAGCCCCTCTGGTAACTGTCATTCTATTCTACTTCCATGAAATCAACTTTTTTAGCTCCCATATATGAGTGAGAACATGCAGTATATATCTTTCTGAGCCTGGCGTGTTTCACTTAACATAATGACCTTTGCTTTTTTTTATTTTATTTTTTTTGAGACGGACTCTCACTCTGTCGCCCAGGCTGGAATGCAGTGGCGCAATCTCAGCTCACTGAAACCTCTGCCTCCCGGGTTCATGTGATTCTCCTGCCTCAGCCTCCTGAGTAGCTGGGATTACAGGGACCCACCACCATGCCCAGCTAATTTTTGTATTTTTAGTACAGACGGGGTTTCACCATGTTGGTCAGGCTGGTCTCGAACTCCTGACCTCGTGATCCACCCGCCTCGGCCTCCCAAAGTGCTGGGATTACAGGCATAAGCCACCACGCCCAGCCACTTTGCTTTTAATTATAGGGTGGGGGCCAGGAACAGTGGCTCCAGCCTATAATTCCAGCACTTTGGGAGGCTCAGGTGGGAGGATTGCTTGAGCCTAGGAGTTCACGACCAGCTTTGGCAACATAGCGAGAGCCCTGTCTCTACAAAAAAATACACAGGCCAGGCGCAGTGGCTCATGCCTCTAATCCCAGCACTTTGGGAGGCCAAGGCAGGTGGATCACGTGAGGTCAGGAGTTCGAGACCAGCCTGGCCAACATGGTGAAACCCTGTATCTACTAAAAATACAAAAATTAGGCCGGGCGCGGTGGCTCATGCCTGTAATCCCAGTACTTTGGGAGGCCGAGGCGGGCGGATCACCTGAGGTCAGGAGTTTGAGACCAGCCTGGCCAACATGGTGAAACCCTGTATCTACTAAAAATACAAAAATTAGGCCAGGCGCGGTGGCTCATGCCTGTAATCCCAGCACTTTGGGAGGCCGAGGCAGGCGGATCACCTGAGGTCAGGAGTTCAAGACCAGCCTGGCCAACATGGTGAAACCCCGCCTCTACAAAAATACAAAAATTAGCTGGGCATGATGGCGGGTGCCTATAATCCCAGCTACTGGGGAGGCTAAGGCAGGAGAATCTCTTGAACCCGGGAGGCAGAGGTTGTAGCGAGCCGAGATCGTGCCACTGCACTCCAGCCTGGGCGACACAGCAAGACTCAGTCTCAAAAAAAAAAAAAAAAAAAAAAAAATTAGCCGGGCTTGGTGGCAGGTGCCTGTAATCCCAGCTACTCAGGAGGCTGAGGCAGGAGAACCACTTGAACCTGGGAAGCTAAGGTTCCAGTGAGCAGACATCGCCCCACTACATTCCAGCTTGGGCAACAGAGCAAGACTTCGTCTCAAAAAAAATAAATAAATATAATAAATAAATTAGCCAGGTATGGTGGCACATGCCTATAGTCCCAGGTACTTGGGAGGCTGAGGTAGGAAGACCACTTGAGTCCAGGAGCTCAAGGTTACAGTGAGCTATGATCATGCCATTGCACTCCAGCCTGGGTGACAAAGCAAGACCCTGTCTCTAAAAATAAAAAATAATAATTGTAGGGTGGCTCTCACATACTCAAAGGCTCTCTGCCACTCTGCTCCTATTGTTGAGTCTAATTTCTTCTTTCCATTTTGATGATTTTCCCTTTAGAACATAAATATCCGTTTCTCCCTCCCTCTTTTCTGACTCCCCATCTTTTTTTGAGACAGGGTCTCACTCTGTCACCCCGGCTGGAGTGCAGTGGCACAATCACGGTTCACTGCAATCATCACCTCCCGGGCTCAAGTGATCCTTCCTCCTTAGCCTCCCGAGTAGTTGGGATTACACGTGTGTGCCTCCATACCTGGCTATTTTTTTTATTTTGGTAGAGATGGGGTTCTGCCATATTGCCCTGGCTGGTCTTGAACTCAGCCTGAGATCCACCTGCCTCAGCCTCCCAAAGTGCTGGGATTCCAGGCATGAGCCACTTCACCCAGCCGGATTTGTTTTACTGGAAAATAATTTTTTAAATGTATAGGGTTTTTTTCCATCATTCTGCAACAAAGCCATTATCATGAGTTTGAATATTATTGAAACCTGTGATAAAAAACATTTGTGGCTGGGTGCAGTGGCTCATGCCTGTAATCTCAGCACTTTGGGAGGCCGAGGCAGGTGGATCATGTAAGGTCAGGAGTTCGAGACCAGCATGACCAATATGGTAAAACCCCATCTCTACTAAAAATACAAAAATGAGCCAGGCATGGTGGCATGCGCCAGTAGTCCCAGCTACTCAGGAGGTTGAGACAGGAGAATTGCTTGAAACCGGGAAGCAGAGGTTGCAGTGAGCCGAAACCATGCCACTGCACTCCAGCCTGGGCGACAGAGTGAGACTGTGTCTCAAAACAAAAACAAAAACAAAAAATCACTTGGTAGTGTTGAATGGAATAATGGCATCCATACTTCACAGTTGCTTTACTAGCAACTTTTTTCCCCCTCTTTTTTTCTGGATGGACATTAAATGAGAAACCAACAAAAACAATTAAGTGCTTTTTGTTTTGGTGATTTGTATCTGGCCTCCTGCAAAGCTCAGACTGTGTCCTATGATCTCATCCGTAAAGGAAAACTGGAGTTCCTCAAGGTCAGGGTTTCTTAATCTTAGCACTGTTTACATTTAGGGGCCAGGAGCAGTGCCTCACACCTGTAATCCCAGCACTTTGGGAGGCCAATGCTGGCGGATCACTTGAGGTTAGGAGTTTGAGATCAGCCTGGCCAACGTGGTGAAACCCCCGTCTCTACTAAAATACAAAAATTAGTTAGTTGTGGTGGTGCATGCTTGTAATCCCAGCTACTCAGGAGGCTGAGGCAGGAACATCACTTGAACCCGGGAGGCGGAGGCTGCAGTGAGTCAAGATCGCACCACTGTGCTCCAGCCTGGAGGACAGAGCAAGAATCTGTCTTAAAAAAAAAAAAACAATAACCAAAAAAAAAAAAAAAAAACAATTAGGGCTTGATGTGGGCGCTGTCCTGTGTAAGGTAGGATGTTTAGCAGTATCCCCAGCCTCTATCCACTAGAGGTCAATAGCACATCCCGCCCCTCCACCCACAACCAGTTGTGATAACCAAAAACGTCTCCAGACATTGCCAGCTGTCTGCTGGCTAATTTTCCTGCTCTGTATATTTACATATAAAATATATTCTATGTATTTTAATTTTATGTTTATTTAAAAATTTTTTTTTAAATAGCCTGTAATCCCAGCTACTCGGGAGCCTGAGGCAGGAGAATCACTTGAACCCGGGAGGTGAAGGGTGCAGTGAGCTGAGATTGCACCATTGCACTCCAGCGTGGGCAACAAGAGCGAAACTCCGTCTCACAAAAAAAAAGTATATATATATATAAAATATTTTCATATATATGTATGTATATAAACGTTTTCTCTGCCATTTTCTTCCGGTATTAATGAATAATGCCGTATCTATCCTCTAAGGTAAAGCTTCCTGACTTGCACTTTATGTACTTTGCACCAAACAGTTTTGGGTCTTCTGATCCAGCTTTCATCTCTGGATCTCTTATGTAAGTCATAGTTTACTGGTTAAGTGACAAGATCTGATTCTAAAGTTCCCATTTCCCAGGCCCTTCAGCTCTAACAAAATACTTCGTATATTTGGAGTACAGATTAAGGATTCTCAATCATCTCAACTTTGTTGAGTATCTAGGGTTTATCAAAATGTCTCCCTCCCCACAGGTGACATATTACACAAAATAAAGCAAATTAGGCCAGGCGTGGTGGCTCACGCCTATAATCCCAGCACTTTGGGAGGCTGAGGTGAGTAGATCACCTGAGGTCAGGAGTTTGAGACCAGCCTGGCCAACATGGTGAAACTCTGTCTCTATTAAAATACAAAAAAAAATTAGGCGTGGTGGCGCATGCCTGTCGCTCCAGTTACTAGGGAGGCTGAGGCAGGAGAATTGCTTGAACCTGGGAGGCAAAGGCTGCAGCAAGCGGAGATTGTGCCACTGAACTCCAGCCTAGGCGACGGAACAAGACTCCGTCTCAAAAAAAAAAAAAAAAAAGCAAATTAAAGTTAATTGCAGCTGGGTGTGGTGGCGCACGCCTATCATCTCAGCATTTTGGGAGGCCGAGGCGGGCGGATCACTTGAGGTCAGGAGTACGAGACCAGCCTGGGTAACAAGGCGAAACCCCGTCTCTGCTAAAAATACAAAAATTAGCCGGGCATGGTGGTACAGGCCTGTAGTCCTAGCTACTTGGGAGGCTGAAGTACGAGAATCGCTTGAACCTGGGAGGCGGAGGTTGCAGTGAGCTGAGACTGTGTCACTGCACTCCAGCATGAGAGATAGAGTGAGATTCTATCTCAAAATAAATACATAAAACAAAGTTAACTATATTTGGAATTTTAAAATATTTAGGCTGGGTAAAGTGGCTCATGCCTGTAATCCCGGCAGTTCGACAGGCCAAGGTGAGTGGATTGTTTGAGGTCAGGAGTTCGAGACCAGCTTGGGCAACATGATGAAACCCCATCTCTACCAAAAGTACAAAAATTAGTTGGACGTGGTGGCATGCACCTGTGGTCCTAGCTACTTGGGAAGCTGGAGGTGGGAGGATCTCTGGATCCCGGGAAGTTGAGGTTCAGTGAGCTGTGACTGCACTACTGCACTTCAGCCTAGGTACAGAGTGAGACCCTGTCTCAATAAATAAAATATTTAAAATAACTAGATTTGGTCTTAGGTACTACCAAAGCAGAGCTGGAACCATCCGTTAGAACACTATTCAAGGCTGAACTTCTATCCTGTAGTTAAGAATAAGAGCTATTGGTTAGGAGAGGAACAGACAAAATTGTTTGACCTTTTACAATCCCAAACAAAGGAAACTTCATCCCAGGAAATCAACCACTGATACAGGATAGCTGCCTGGCCAGGTTCACACTCTGGCTGATTCTTTTACAGCAAATGAGCTAGACATGTAGATCAAACTAAATAACTCGAAACAGAAACAACTCTTCAGAGTCTCTGAGTGTTAACAGATCCTTGCTTTGTCCAACTCTGGGTCCCTCTTTTCCCTCAGAAAGTGAATTAATGGCATTCTAGGCAGCAGCTTTCCTTCCTCTGTGTGACTGCAGTTTCTTCAGGGGTCACCCAAATTTTGTATTAATATATCATTGTAGTTTTTGAAAAACTTCTCCAGCTTCTATTTCTATTAAGTAAATATTTGTTTTTCTTCCAGAGATTTCAAAGGTGAAAAAAAACATCCTAGGTATCTGTTTTCACGAAAAAACAAACAAAAAAAAACAAACAAAAAACCCTGCAGAGTCATACTAGTTGTTCAGTGTAAAACCAAACAATAGATTTTAGAGAAAGCAAAGGATGAACAAATAGAATGCCCCTTTCAGCTCTCAGTAACTACATTCTAAACCACTTGCAATCGCACTTTTAAGATTAGTTATTTTAAAATGGCATTAGGCATTGTCTTATTTTTTTAAACTTTATTTATTTATTTTGAGATGGAGTTTCACTCTGTTGCCCAGGCTGGAGTGCAATGGTGCAATCTTGGCTCACTGCAACCTCTGCCTCCTGGAATCAAGAAAGTCTCTTGCCTCAGCCTCCCTAGAAGCTAGGATTACAGGCGCATACCACCACACCTGGCTAATTTTTTGTATTTTTAGTAAAGATGGGGTTTCACCATGTTGGCCAGGCTGGTTTCGAACTCCTGACCTCAGGTGATCCACTCGCCTCAGCCTCCCAAAGTCCTGGGATAACAGGCACAAGCCTCCGCACCGAGCAATGTAAGCCATTTTAAAATAACTAATGTGCCAGGTGCAGTGGCTCACGCCTGTAATCCAGCACTTTGGGAGGCCGAGGTGGGTGGATCATGAGGTCAGGAGTTCGAAACCAGACTGGTCAACATGGTGACACCCCATCTCTACTAAAAACACAAAAATTAGCCAGGCGTGGTGGCAGGCACCTGTAATCCCAACTACTTGGGAGGCTGAGTCAGGAGAATCGCTTGAACCCGGGAGGCGGAGGTTGCAATGAGATAAGATTGCACCAGCACTCCAGCCTGGGCGACAGAGCGAGACTCCATCTCAAAAAAAAAAAAAAAGTCTTACATTTATAGAATGACATCCTATTTTACAGAACCCGAGTCTGCACAGCTTGCTCGTTCACTATGTTAAAATCTTTGCTCAAATATGTCAGCTTCTCAGTGAGACCTTCCTTGTCTACCTTATTTAAAATTATAACCCATCTGACCACATCATGTTTTCCTATCTTCCTTTTCTGTTTATTTTTCTCCACAGGACTTTTTACCATCTAACACATTATATAATTTACTTTTGTTTATTTTCATATTTCCTGTTTCCTGCCACCTTTACCCACTATGTGAACTATACATAGCCAGGCAGAATTTTTTTTTTTTTTTTTAAATACAGAGTCTTGCTCTATCACCCAGGCTGGAGTGCAGTTGTGCAATCTCACCTCACTGCAACCTCCGCCTCCCGGGTTCAAGCGATTCTCATGCCTCAGCCTCCCAAGCAGCCAGGATTACAAGCATGTGCCGCCGCGCCTGGCTAATTTTGTATTTTTAATAGAGACAGGGTTTTGCCATGTTGGCCAGGCTGTTCTCAAACTTCTGGTCTCAAGTGATCCACCCGCCTCAGCCTCCCAAAATGCTAGGATTATAGGCATGAGCCACCTTGGCTGGCCCGTAAGCAGGAATTTTTATCTGTTTTGTTTTTTATGTGTTCCTGGTGCTGGAATGGTGGTGTGAGCACACAGTAGATGTTGAATGAATACTCCAAAGGGATAAACAATAATACAGTAACTCAGGCACTAGATCTCACCCATTTAATAAAAATGTAACAGCTGATCGGGCACAGTGGCTCACGCCTGTTAAGTGTGCCACTGCACTCCAGCCTCAGTGATAGAGAGAGACTCTATCTCAAATAATAATAATAATAATAATAATAATAATAATAGCTGACTGCTTTCCAAAAAATTACCCAGCCCCTGAAAAAAATCACAATTCCAAGCTTCAGTGAAGGTTTTCCCCACATTTGTTATATAAAGGTGACATTTATCCAAATGTGTCAAGTTTTATATGCTACTCAAAATAGTGCAGATAGGCGTACTTTTTGTAGACTAGGGAGGTATGTATACGTCAGTACATTTAAATCTACTCCTTTCACAGTTGGTCTTCTCATTTTCTCTTGCTCACTATCTCTTATTCACCCCCCAACAAAGCCCTGTTTCCAATTCTTTTTGTTGAGACTCTGGTGCCAGCCAGTGTTTGTCACTATCTCCATCTCCTTCTATGGTCTTTTGTGTCTCTTTATACCTGGAGTAGACATGAATCCTCCCCACTCAGCTTTCCCAGAACGTCACACTCTGGCTTCCCTTCTTCCATGTCCCCGGAAGCCTGAGAGACCACAATCCCAGAGGACCTGGGCCCCATTCATGTGCTCACCTGCTTGTGTCTGCCGGTTCCCTGAGTCCTTGCTTTCGCTGCAGGTTGCCTTTTGCTCTTTGCTCCTGTTTCAGCTCTTCTTAATCAAGCGAGCCTCATGAACCGCATTCACCTTTGTGCCAGTTTGCAACTAACAGTGTGGCATTTTGCTAACTCACTCCCTTCTCTATCCTTCCCTCCTCCCTTACTCTCTTTTTCTCTGAGTACACAATTCGTTCATCTACTTTTATCATAGTTAACTTCCAACTAGTAGGATTATCGCTCATAGGGCGGAAGCTGCTCAGCAACTCATTTCTGTGTTTTTGTTAGCCAAATAGAAAAGTTAATAGCACTTCTCAATACCTTCCATCCCTGACACAGAATTTAGAAACCTGGATGGAACATAACTTGGTCTCTTAAAAAAAAAAAAAAAAAACTTTAGAAACCTGGGCATTCACCTGTCTAGTTAATAAGCATGTACTGAGTATCTAATATATACCAGGCACTGTGCTAGATTCTTGATATATACAGAGGAATCCGATATAGAAGAAATTTCAGCTTACTGGAGAAAACAGGGCTGGGCACAGTGGCTCTTGTCTGTAATCTTAGCACTTTGGAAGGTCGAGGCAGGAGGATTACTTGAGGTCAGGATTTCAAGACCACCTTGGGCAACACAGTGAAGCTCTGTCTCTACAAAAATAAAAAAATTATCTGGGCATGGTGGCATGCACCTGTAGTCCCAGCTACTCAGAAGGCTAAGGTGGGAGGATCGCTTGAGCCTAAGAGGTCAAGGCTGCATGAACCATGATTATATCACTGCATTCCAGCCTGGGCTACAGAGCAAGAACCTGTCTCAAAAAACAAACTAACAAAACCCAGACAAGCAAACCAACGACTGTAATGTACTGTGATAAGTTCTCTGACAGAAATGCACACAAAGTGCTCTAGGAACAGACATAAGGGACAAGAAACTTGGCTTGGAAGGGGAAAGGTGAAGGTGGGATGGGACTGGGAAGCTTCTTGAGGGATGAGAGGTAGGAATTATCCTGGGAAAATGACACAAGGAGGATTCTGAGAACTTCAAGTATTAACAGCTTGGTACAGCTGGAATATAGAGGTGTACCAGAATAAAGACAGCCAGAGTGAGGGAAAATGGCTCTGGAAGCAGAGAATCAGATTTCAAAAGGAGTGGACTTGTTTTCCTTTCCCATAGTGAGATTGATTGTTAGTTATGTCTTTCTGTTGACTCCCTAAGCAAATATCATTATTGATTGACTTGGATAAAATAATACAGTATCTCACAACAGTGGAAAATTGGATAGGTGATTAGAAAGGTCCACCAAAAGGTCCAAAAAGAGTGAAATGTAAAAGCTCCCACTGACAATTCATCTGAGCTCCACAGCAAAGCTAGCCTTAACAAGTTAAAAATTAAACATAAGGCAAGTTTAAAATGTAACTAGAATGAAATTTTTAAACAGTAAGCTGAACTATGGAACCAATATAGTTAAACCACCCAGTGCATAAGTAAGCCAAGCCAAGCAAAACCAAGGTAGGTCTAATAAGCTAAGTTCAGGACAGGCTGCAGCAAAGTGAGCAATGCCTTATTTGAGGATATAACTTATAATACAAAGGGCCACAGCCCTGACACACCTTGCTATCTGAAGGATGTCTAAGGTGGGTGGTGCATGGTATCTTTTGTATTACCAAAGACAGGTATTAATATTAGGCCTGGAACATGCTGGACACCAGTAATTGAATCCCAAATGGACTTGGTACAATTAGGCTAATGGAATATGCAGGCAGAAGCAATAGGGCAAGGAGTACCCCCTTTCCCAGTGTTCCACTACGGCCTAGGTATTACATGTCCAACTCCCAATTCCCCTCCAAACTAGACCATGGATAGGGCATGTGAAGCCTATTTGTTCCTATATTCATTCATTCATTTGGCCATGTGTTACAGGCAGAAAGAATGAGGGTCGTGACCAACTCAGTATGCCATTGGAGGTTATATGAGCAAACAGAAAACTGTTCTCATGAAAGCAGGATGTTGGAAAACTGACAAACTGCGTCTGCCACCAGAAGGGGTGCTGAGGGCAGTCACACCCCCAGCGCAGTGTTCCTTGCAATTATCTATAGGAGCATCTGAAGCCTGTTGTACAAAGAAAGCAATTATGTGTACCTGTGATAAATCTAGCAGCTGACCAACTGTTACCTCTCCCTCCCTGCTCTTTCTATCTAATAAATACGAAGGGCGGTAGAAGCTCAGGGCTGCCTTTGCTCACTAGAAGCAAGGAGCTCCCTGACCCCTTCTTTCGAAACAGATCCTTTTGTCTTTGTCTTCATTTCTGCGTTTGTCCCCTTCATTCAACCTGTAGTAACCGACAGTGACAGCCATTCCAGAAATTAGCAATTTCTTACTGCTGCTTACAAGTACAGCACACAAAGATAAATCATCTTAGAAACTTTAAGAAACCCTAAGAAACTATACTAAGTTGGAAAAAAAAAATACATGTCCATAAATTACCTCTATAAAGTGAAAATGTGTCAAGCAGCACAGTTACTATGCTCTGAAACTTCAAAGCTGGGATGATGGAGAAGGCTCTGTGAAAAAGGTCGTATCTGAGGAGGGTCCTGAGGAGGGAAATGAATTAGGACAGGCAAGGAGTGCTTTTCAGGAATAAAACCATGAATCAAGACACGGATGTGGAAAAGGGATGGGGGCCCCTGAGGAACAGTGAATGGATCAGTTTGACCAACTATAGTAGAAAATAAAGTTGAAGAGATAGATTGAGGTCACATAGTAGAGGACACCAAATACTCAGCTAAGGAGTTTGGACTTTACTCTGCAGGTGATAGGAAGCCACTGAAGATATTGAACTAGGGAGTATCCAAATACGAATCTGGTAGTTACATGTAAGGACTGCAGTCAGGAGCCTTGTCAGGACCACTCAATTGCTTAATTCTACTAATGCTTACTGATGCCTACTAACTGCTAGGTGCCAGAAAAGTAAAGGTGAGGAAAACAGATCTTTTTATTCAAGATGCTGAGTCTGGCAGAGGTGGCAGACATATATAAAAATAACCGTAACTTTTTAAACTAAGCATAAAAATGGTAAAGAAGCTAGGCGCAGTAGCTCACGCCTGTAATCCCAGCACTTTGGGAGGCCAAAGTGGGTGGATTACCTCAAGTTAGGAGTTCGTGACCAGCCTGGCCAACGTGGTGAAACCCCATATCTACTAAAAATACAAAAATTAGCCAGGTGTGGTGGCATGCGCCTGTAATCCCAACTACTCAGGAGACTGAGGAACGAGAATTGCTTGAACTCAGGACGCAGAGGTTGCAGTGAGCCAAGATCACAGGATTGCACCCCAGCCTGGGTGACAGAGTAAGACTCTGCCCCCCACCCCCCCAAAAAAAACAAAGGTAGGCCGGGCACGGTGGCTCACTCCTGTAATCCCAGCACTTTGGGAGGCCAAGGTGGGCGGATCATGAGGTCAGGAGTTTGAGACCAGACTGACCAACATGGTAAAACCGTCTCTACTAAATATACAAAAATTAGCCAGGCGCAGTGGCGCGTGCCTGTAATCCCAGCTACTCAGGAGGGTGAGGCAGGAGAATTGCTTGAACCTGGCAGGCGGAGGTTGCAGTGAGCCAAGATCAAGCCACTGCACTCTAGACTGGGCAACAGGGCGAGACTCCGTCTCAAAAAAAAAGGTAAAGGGCCGGGCGCAGTAGCTTACACCTGTAATCCCAGCACTTGGGGAGGCCAAGGCGGGCGGATCATGAGGTCAGGAGTTCCAGACCAGCCTGACCAACATGATGAAACCCCATCTCTACCAAAAATTTAAAAATTAGCCAGGCATGGTGGCATGCACCTGTAATCCCAGCTATTCAGGGGTCTGAGGCAGGAGAATCACTTGAACCCAGGGGGCGGAGGTTGCAGTTAGCCGAGGTCGCGTCACTGCACTCCAGCCTGGGCGACAGAGCGAGACTCCATCTCAAAAAAAAAAAAAAAAAAGGTAAAGGAACAAAAACACAGGACTAACTCCCTAGAGGATTTGGAAACGCATCAAGAAAAGACATTTGAGACCAGGCACAGTGGCTCACGTCTGTAATCCTAGCACTTTGGGAGGCCAAGGCAGGCAGATTGCTTGAGCTCAGGAGTTCGAGACCAGCCTGGGCAACATGATGAAACCTCATCTCCACCAAAAATACAAAAACTAGTCAGGCATGGTGGAATGCACCTGTAGTCCCAGCTATTTGGGAGGCTGAGGTGGGAGGATTGCTTGAGCCCCCTGGGAGGTGGAGGTTGCTGTGAGTTGAGATCGCACCACTGTACTCCAGCCTGGGTGACAAGACTGAACCCCGTCTCAATTTAAAAAATATATATATAAGCATATATAAAAGAAATGGCTGGGCACAGTGGCTCACGCCTGTAATCCCAACACTTTGGGAGGCCGAGGAGGGTGGATCACCTGAGGTCAAGAGTTCAGGACCAGCCTGGCCAATATGGTGAAACCCCATCTCTACTAAAAATACAAAAATTGTCCAGGCGTGGTGGTGTGCCTGTAATCCCAGCTACTCAGGAGGCTGAGGTGGGAGAATTGCTTGAACCTGGGAGGCGAGGCTGCAGGGAGCCGAGATCATGCCACTGCACTCCAGCCTGGGCAACAGAGCAAGAACCTGTCTCAAAACAACAACAAAAAAAATGAAATGACATGTAAGCAATCATGAAAAATGGACAGAAATAACTACAGAAATAATAGAGACCAGATGTGTATAAAGACCAGAGAGATTAGAAAAAGATGATAGGAAAAGTATCGTTTGATTTCATTTAAAAATTTCCTCAAGAGCCATATGGAGTGGCACGTGACCATAGTCCCAGGTACTCAGGAGGCTGAGGAAAGAGGGTCACTTCAGCCAAGGAGTGCAAGTCCAGCTTGGACAACACAGTGAGACCCTATCCGTATAAAAATTAAAAATAGCGAGGCCAGGTATGATGACTCATGCCTGTAATCCTAGCACTTTGGGAGGCCAAAGTGGGAGGATTGCTTGACCCCAAGAGTTTGAGACTAGCCTGGGCAACATAGTGAAATGCTATCTCTACAAAATATTAAAAAATTAGCAGGGTGTGTCTGGGCGCAGTGGCTCATGCCTGTAATCCCAGCACTTTGGGAGGCCAAGGCAAGCGGATCACGAGGTCAAGAGATCGAGACCATCCTGGTTAACACGGTGAAATCCCGTCTCTACTAAAAATACAAAAAATTAGCTGGGTGTGATGGCGGGTGCCTATAGTCCCAGCTACTCGGGAGGGTTAGGCAGGAGAATGACGTGAACCTGGGAGGCCGAGCTTGCAGTGAGCCGAGATTGCACCACTGCACTCCAGCCTGGGCAACAGAGCAAGACTCCATCCCAAAAAAAAAGAAAAAAATTAGCCAGGCATGGTGGCGGGCACCTGTAGTCCGAGCTACTCGGGAGGCTGAGGCAGGAGAATCGCTTGAACCTGGGAGGCGGAGGTTGCAGTGAGCCGAGATCATGCCACTACACTCCAGCCTGGCGAGAGAGCAAGACCTCATCTCAAAAAAAAAAAAAAAAAAAAAAAAAAAAAAAAAAAGCCAGGCATGGTGGTACACACCTGTAGTCTCAACTATTCAGGAGGCTGAGGTATGAGGATCATTTGAGCCTGAGAAGTGGAGGCTGAGGTGAACTGTGATTGCACGGCACCACTGTACTCCAGCCTATGCGACAGAGTGAGACCCTGTCTCAAATAATAATAATTAAAAGCCAATGTCCTCAAGAATTTTTTATATGAATTTGAGAAACAAAAAGTAGAAAACTAGTGAAAGAGGATATAGAAGAAGAGGGTTAGCATTTAATGCAGAGGATAAAGATTGTGGTCAAAGAAACATAATCTGAGATTTTAAAAAAATAGTAACCAATATTTACGGAGATCTTAGTAGATGCCAAGCATGATGTTAAGTATTCTACATAGATTAGCTCATTTAATCTCACATTACTGCTCTGTGAGTTAGGTGCTATTATTAAGATTCCCATTTTATAAATGAGAAAACTGAGCTTAGAGAAACTAAGTATCTTAAGACCACATCGTAGTTAAATGAAATGAGCCAGAAATCAAACCCAGATGGTTTAATTCCAGAGCCACAGTCTTAACTAGTAGGCCACCCAAGAAGGATTATCTAACAGGGCTCTTGGAAAAGACAGATATGGGAGTGGGGAGGCGAGTGTAGAGCAGAGAATGGTCTGAGATGAGGCTGGAAAGTGAGACTTCCATCAGGATGTGAAAGTCTTACAGCAGTCTGACCTTCTTACATAAAATCAAGAGCTTATTTATTTATTTATGTAGAGATGGAGTCTCACTATGTTACCCAGGCTGGTCTTGAACTCCTGGCCTCATGCAATCCTCTAGCCTCAGCCTCCTGAATAGCTGGGATAACAGGGTTGAGCCACTGTGCCCAGCTAATCAAGAGATTTTGAAGATCTTAATTTCCTGCTGTTGAATACATTTCCAGAATCCGACCATTTCTGACCACTTCCATTGCTACCACCTTCGCCCAAGCCACTATCATCTTTCATGTGATTTGCTAATATTGTCCTAACAGATCTTCCTGCTTTTATCCTCACTCCCCTGGAGTTTGTCTCCTTTTAACAAACAACCAAAGTCATCCTTTAATATAAATTAGAGTATGTCTCTGTTTTATGCAAAATCCAGCACTGGCTCCCCATTTCAGAGAAACAAGGTCCTGAAAATAGCCTTCTGCTTCCATCCCCACTACATCTCTGACCCCATCTACTAATAGTTTTCACCTTACTCTCCCCCAACACTGACCTCTGCGCTTATTCACTCATGCCCCTGCCTTAGGGCCTTCGCTCTAAGCTGTCCCCACTGCCTAGAAATTCTTTTCCTATATATCCACTTGATGAATTCCTGCAACTCCTTCAAATACTTGTTTAAAAATCACTTTCTTATTGAGATCTACTTAATACTATAACCTCTCACCTTCACATGCTCCCACCTCTACCTGCTTTCTCAACTCCCCTTACTCTGATCCACTTTTCTTTTTTCCACACCACTTATCACATTCTAACATACTGGAAAGCTTACTGATATTTATTGTCTGTGTTCCTCTGATAGAATATAAGCTCCTCAAGAGCAGAAATCTTTTTGTTTACTGGTGTAACCCAAGAACCTAGAAGAGCGTCCAAGGTGGAATTCAATAAAAACTGACAATAGAAATGGGCTAGGGTTTCTCTCAGCCTTAGCGCCATTTTCTTGGAAACCTCTGCATCATGAGAGCTAAGTGGAGGAAAAAGCGAATGTGCAGTCTGAAGCACAAAAGAAGAAAGATGAGGCAGAGGTCCAAGTAAACCGCTAGCTTGTTGCACCGTGGAGGCCACACAGGAGCAGAAACATGGAATGCCAGATGCTGGGGATGCTGGTACAAGTTGTGGGACTGCATGCTATTGTGTAGAGCTTGTCTCAATGGATCCAGAACTTCACCGCCCTCTGATCGCTGATCACCTCTGAGACCCACCTTGCTCATAACCAAAACTGCCCATGTTGGTCCTCTGCCCTGGACCTGGGACATTCTGGACTATTTCTGTGTTTACTTGTGGCCGAGTATAACAACCATACGATAAATCATCTCTTCTGCTGTCTTAGCTGAAGAATCAAAAAAAAAGAAAAAGAAAAAAAGAAAAAAAAAATTGGCTGGGCATGGTGCCTCATGCCTGTAAATCCCAACACTTGGGAGGCTAAGGCAGGAGGATCACTGGAGCCCAGGAGTTTGAGACCAGCCTGGGCAACACAGCAAAACCCTATTAAAAAAAATTTTTTTTTAATGAAAAAATTAGCCAGGCATGGCAGTGCACACTTGCAGTCCCAGCTACTTGGGAGGCTGAGGCAGAAGGATCACTTAAGCCCAGGAGTTCGAAGCTGCAGTGAGCTAGAATCATGCCACTGCACTCCAGCATGGGTGACAGAGCAAGACCCTGTCTCAAAAAATAAATTAATTAAGTAAATAAATACATGTATTAAGCAATAAAAATATTTATTATCTCATCCCTTTTTTATTTTTTTGAGACAGAGTCTCCCTCTATTGCCCAGGTTGCAGTGCAGTGGCGTGATCTTGGCTCACTGCAACCTCTGCCTCCTGGGTTCAAGTGATTCTCCTGTCACAGCCTCCGAAGTAGCTGGGACTACAGGCACCCCCCACCACACCCGGCTAATTTTTGTATTTCTAGTAGAGACGGGGTTTCGCCATATTGGCCAGGCTCAAACTCCTGACCTCAGGTGATCCACCTGCGTTGGCCTCCCAAAGTGCTGAGATTACAGGTGTGAGCCATTGCGCCCGGCCTATCTCATTATTTCTGTGGTTTGGGACTCTGAGAGTGGTTTAATTAGACAGTTTTGGCTCTGAGGCTCTCATGAGATTGCAGTCAAGATGTAGGCTGGGGCTGCAGTCAATCTGAAGGCTTGACTAGGCCTGGAAGACCCACCTCCAAGATGGCTCACTCAATGGTTGGCAAGTTGATGCCAGCTGTGGGCAGGAAGTCTCAGTAGCTCCCCGTGTAGATCCTCCATAGGGCTGCTTGAATGTCTTTATAACCCAGTGGCTGGCTTCCTCCAGAGCAGTCAATCCAAGAAGAGCAGGGCAGAAGCAGTAATGTCTTTTATGACTTTGTTTTGGAAGTCATACACTATCATATCCCTATATTCTAATGCTCATACAGACCAACCCTGACGAACTGTAAAAGGGGACTACACAAAGGCATGAATATTAGGAGGTGAGCATCACTGGGGGGCATCTTGGAGGCTGGCTACTGTAAGCTGTAACCAGTATTTGTGTAATATTTTGTGGGGTTTTTTTTCCAGTATACCATATATATATTTCAATAAACACATCTTACATACTTCTTATTTTAGGACCTGCATGTTATTCCAATGATATTAACTGTTTTTGTTCATTTGTTTATTCTTAGAAAAAAATAATATATAGAAATAAGCCAGGTTAGCTGGGCATGATGGGACATGCCTGTAATCCCAGCTACTCGGGAGGCTGAGGCAGGAGAATTGCTTGAACCCGGGAGATGGAGGTTGCAGTGAGCTGAGATCGCACCATTGCACTCCAGCCTGGGCGATAGGGTGAGACTCAGTCTCAAAAAAAAAAAAAAAAGAAAAAAAGAAAAAAAGAAAAAAAGAAATAAACCAGGCGTGGTGGCTCATGCCTGCCTGGGTGAGAGAGCAAGACTCGGTCTCAAAAAAAAAGAAAAGAAATATAGGCAGGGTTTCACTATGTTTGTCAGATTGCTCTCAAACTCCTGGCCTCAAGCAATCCTCCACCTTGGCCTCTCAACATGCTAGGATTACAGGTGTGAGCCATCACATCGGCTGCTATTAACTCTTAAAAATGAACAACTGGCCAGGTGCGGTGGCTCACGCCTGTAATCCCAGCACTTCGGGAGGCTGAGGGGAGTGGATCACCTGAGGTCAGGAGTTCAAGACCAGTCTGGCCAACATGGTGAATCCCCATCTCTACTAAAAATA